>NC_000003.12:193856573-194007573 GCF_000001405.40 Homo sapiens | reverse complement strand
GGCTCTGCGGCAGTGACAAGCAACTCCAAAATCTCACAGGCTTACAATATCAAAAATATTTTCTTGCACTCACCTGATGCCTGAGAGGCTGACTGCAGCGCTGCCCCACGTTCCCTTCACTGAGGGTGCAGTAGGCCTAGAATCCTGCCAGCCTCGTGGATGGGGAGAAGAGCACATGGTAAAACTTGAGCTGGCTCTTAGATCTTCTGCCTGGAAGTGAGAGATGTCATTTCTGCACATTTCACTGGCCAGGGCAAATAGCATGGCCAAGTCTAATGTCAAGAAGAAGGAGAAATATCATCCTCTTTCAGGGAGGGGCAGTCAATATTTATGACCAACAGCGAGGCCTGCTATAGGTACCGTCCGAAGGACCCCTCTGTGTGTTGAGAAGCTGCGTAGCTTCCCTTACCACTTCCCACAGAGGCAAGATTGCTGCTTGCCCACGCTTTCTTGAGACCCTTAACACTCACTTCTTCAAGGACTGTGCCATCTGTGTGTTCCAACCATACCCCATTCTTTATCTTACGCTATCCAGGCCTTCCATCCTTCTCATTCCCTGTCTTCTAGGAAAAAAAAAACGTCAAGTTGTAGTTTTATGCCATTGTCCTGAAGAGCTGCTTATTTGGACTATGCTTTCTAAACATAACCTAAATTGAGTGTTTAAAGCATGGTTATTTTCACAGCAGCTGTAGGAAGAGCACTTTGCTCCTTCCTCTCCTTGCAGAGGCTCTGCAAAATGGTGAAGGAATTGAAGTCTCTGAAGCCTATTAAGGCAGAAGAGGCCTTAGAGAATGGGTAGTTTAGCTTTCATGAACCTGGTCGTCCACAATGGACTGCCAGGATTTTGTAAAGTCCCTAAATTGCAAGTAAAATTAGGTGAGAGTTACATGTCTAGTAAATATGTATTTTCTGGGGCCAGAAACCATATCTTATATCTAATTCTGAAAGGATTTGCAAACCCAGGAAGATGAAAGGACAACAAAGTCTAATCCAATCCCTTTATTTTACTGGTGATATTTGCAGAAATTGCAGTTAGGTTCCTTGCACCAAATGGATGATTCTATTTAATATATTACTGATACATTAAAAGCTTTTAGTTTTTAACTGATATATCAGGAGCTTTTCCCCCAAACTCAACGTTTTGTTTCAGTGGGTTTATTTCTCAAGTACTGCAACCTACTCTGGGAGAAAGTAGGACTCTTTGGAAAGTTGCATTGACTTTTAAAACCACAAGGGTATCATTTGGTGTGTTCCTGCCCCAGCAATTATTACCCTTTGAGAGCCTGCAGAGCTACCTCCAGCCTTCCCTTTGGTCTCCGTGGGGACTCATTACATTTCTAACAGTCAAGTATGAAAACTTACAGTGCTGGCTTACCAGAAGGGTTTGCTTTGGGAATTTCACAGACAGGGCTGCTTCTGTCTTGTAAAGAAATTTACATCCCATGAAGCAGAATAGGGAACGACTGTGGCAGATGATGGTAATAGAACTGCATCAATATTACATGTCTGCCAGGCAGAGAACCAATATGTTTTAACAGCACAGGTCTATGTAGCCTCTTCCTTCTCTTCCACGAAGCTGGCTGGGAGTGAGTGCTATATCCTCTTCACAGTTTAGAAAACAGAGGCTCAACATTTTAATATTCTCCAGAGCAGAGGTTCTTAACAGGACCCTTAGGTGGGGCTTCAGGGGGTCTTTGAACACCTGAAATGACCTGCAAAGACAAGTATATATTTGTATCTCCATAGGAGCGTGGGGGATGTGATTTTCATCAGATTCTACAAAGCTCTGTGACTCTGAAAGTTTCAGGACCACTACACTAGGGCTTCTCTTCTTTGTAAAATAATTGGCAGGTTAGTCCAATTATTTTTACATTCAGGCTTTTTTTTTTTTAATGTGTTTTCTCCTTTTTTTCCCTTAGTTGCTGACCTCCATAACAGCAGACAAAATTGGAAGCAAGAGTGATTTTGGAGGAGTCACACTTAGATGTTTCCCTTACCTATTTCTGTTCTGGAAATTTAAAAATCTTACTTCTCGTGACAGTCCTACATGAAAAATTAAAAATCACAAGGATTCATGGATGGAAAACTGAGACTCAGAGAATGATCACATTCACATCGTAATAAATCAGCAATAGAGTGAGTGATTGTTCCTTGGTAAGAAATCAACTCTAAACTCAGTTGGAAACCTTTGCCAATATTACTTAACACATGACAATCTGGTGTGACTCATTTTTCTTGACATTATGCAAATAAAGGAAACAAGACTGAGTGGCCTTCTGTCCGGAGAGCAGGAAATGAAGGCTGTCTGGGGCCACATGTTTCCTGGGACATGTGGTGTCAGAAATGGGTACTAGAAGAACCAGGCCTTTGTTCATGTCTTTTATTTTTTATTTTTGTTTTTTTTTAGATGGAGTCTCACTCTGTCGCCCAGGCTGAAGTGCAGTGGCACTGTCTCGGCTCATTGCGACCTCCGCCTCACCGGTTCAAGCAATTCTCCTGCCTCAGCCTCCCGAGTAGCTGGGATTATAGGCGCCCGCCACTACACCCAGCTAATTTTTGTATTTTTAGTAGAGACATGGTTTCACCATGTTAGCCAGGCTGGTCTAGAACTCATGACCTCGTGATCCACCCGCCTCCGCCTCCCAAAGTGCTGGGATTACAGGCGTGAGCCACGGTGCCTGGCTGCCATTGTTCATTTCTATTTCATGAGTGATCGGCTCTTGTTGGCCATGGCTGGAGGAGTCAGCTCCCAAAATCCACACTCTCTAGGAGTGCTGAACCATAAATAATCTATCAGGACTCCTAGATTCCACTCTCTAGAGCTGCAACCAGAAGTTCCTTCCTTCCCGGCCCTGCTTCCCACTAAAGGAAACATTTGACTTTTGGGGATGAGATGTTTCAAGCCAGCCAATCCTTCTCACAGGAAGCAGAACCCCAGCCACCATGGAGCTTATCCTTGGGGCGCAGAGAAACACTGACCTAATGCTGTAATCAAGTACTGGATTTTATTTTTAAATCTTTTTACCTCACAAGCTGACTTTATTCTGGCTAGAGGGCTCCTGAACCTCTGTAAACTCCCCAGGAGGTAATTTCCAGTGCTAATCTCGCTAACGAGGTGTCAGTTACAGAAATGGCCCACGCCCTGGTTTCTTCTAAGTGGACATTACAGTGTTTCTTCAGAGGGGCCTGTGCTGGGACACCTCGGAAATGGAAGAATTTATAGCAAGGATGTTATTTCTCACTAAGTGAGCAGAAGAGCTGGAAGATCTCTTTAGAGATCATTAGAAGGATGGGGAAACTGAGGCTCAGAGAAGGGCAGTGGCTGCCCGAGGCCACAGAGCTGAGTGGCAGCAGGGTTGGGTTAGAGACTGGACCTTGTGGCGGAGCTGGCCTGCTTTGGGCTGTTCCACACACCACTGACTTTCTAGATTGTTTCATGTTCATGGAATCATCCTCAAACTCTACTCCCCAAAATTGTACCATAGATTAACTTCGGGCACCCCCCAAGTCAAAACTTCAACAGCTAAGGGACACGGATCATGCGGCCTGCTGAACACGCCATCAAGTGGGGCAAAGTCTTCTTTCTTTGTGATCAGGGTATGCACTCTCCCTTGGCCTCTGAATAAGCTGTACCCAGGGTTCCTCGATGACTCAGCTGCAGCAGGCTATCCACCACACATGTCCGTGGCCACCACGGCGGGAACCGGGCTCACCATCACTTACCACTAGAGATGTCAAACCACCCCCCTCCTAACCCAGGCCCCACTGCGGCCTCCCTGCCCTGCTCCAGCCTCGGTCTGTTGTGCAAGAGCCAGAGGGGACTTACGATCACGGAGCCACACGCCCAGGCCCAACCCAGGCCCAGGAGCTCCACCCTAGGGAAACGCCTAAGTCAGAACAGAGCACTCCTAACCCCCCGGGGCAAGGAGGGGAGGCCAGGCAGCCGGAAGGAAACTCCTGAGCTTTTTACGGAATGCACAAGACAAAAGGTGAGGGTCTCCACGTAGGGAAAGAACGCATTATTATTTACGGCCTTGGTCTGGAGAGGAGAACATGCTGCTCTTTGCAGCCCGGCGTGTGATTCATTTCCCCCGGGAGCTGCAGGGCCGAGGCAGGGCGTGCGCTCCGGCAGCCTCCAGACAGCCGCGCACTCCCGCCCGCTCGTTTATTTATGGTGCTTTATCAGCGGCTGTGCACCGCGGCGATAAAGTTTATGAAAAGAGGCGGCGTCTCCGGCCGGCGGGCTGGGCCCGGCGCTCCTTTCCCACACTGATTAGGATCAGCCAGGGCTTTGGAAGCTGCAGTTAAGGATCTCGGGTGCCCGGAGCCTCGGCTCCCCCTTCCTGCCCCGCCCGCGGGCTGGCCGGCTGCTGGCCCGCGTGGGAGGCGAGGTCAGGGCTGCGGCCGCGGCCCTTCCCCTGGGAGCGGGAGGGAGGAGGGAGGAGGAGGAGAGAAGCCGCCCTGCGGGGGAGGGAGCTCCAAGGCCCCGGGAAGTGGGACAGCCAGAGAAAAATACCGTCCAAATATAAATGGGCAAGTCCCCACGTTAAGAGATGAACGAGAATTTTTTATTTTTTGAGACAGAGTCTCGCTCTGTTGTCCGGGTTGGAGTGCAGTGGTGAGATCTTGGCTCACTGCAACCTCCGCCTCCGGGGTTCAAGGGATTCTCCAGCGTCAGCCTCCCGAGTAGCTGGGATTACAAGCGCCTGCCACCAGGCCTGGCTAATTTTTGTATTTTTAGTAGAGATGGGGTTTCACCATGTTGGTCAGGCTGGTCTCGAACTCCTGACCTCAGGTGATCCACCCAACTCGGCCTCCCAAAGTGCTGAGATTACAGGCGGAACAGGAATTTAATAGGAATTTTTCTCCTCTGAAGGCGGTGCACCGTCTCCTCTCCCCCATTTACTTTCCTACATTCCTTTCTCCTTTCCCGTCATTTCACCTGCATTTACTGTGTCTTTGCATTAAGGCTTGATTCATTTTGTCCCTTTTCATAGCCATGTTTTGTTCAGTCCTTCAGAAGATAGAAATTGAACACCTGACTTGTGGACAGCACCTCTAAACACTGCAGAGAGAGATTCAGAGATGAATAGCCCTGGCCCTTAGGGTTCTTGCGGTCACAAGCACCGTCCAGTAAGAGCAGCCCATGGTTATGAGTAACAAGAGCAGACACTACGGCAGGCACTTGGTTTAGGGACATTGCCTTGTTTCATCCTCACGGTGACTTCAGGAGGACAGTGCCATCGTTACGCCGTTTAACAGATGGTAAAACTGAGGCCCAGAGAGGGGAGTGCCTTGCTTCAGATGACTCAGCAACGCAGTGGCTGAGCAAGGATTTGAACTCAGGCAGAATGGTGGCAGAGCCTGTTTGCCTAACTTCTAAATTTCCCTAACTCTCTAGAACAGAGGGTAGTAGGAGTGCAGCAGACAGGACAACTAACCCTGCCTGGAAAAGTCATGGTGGGCTTCCCGGAGGAGGCGTCCTTAGGCTGGGGCTTGAAGACGAGGTATTTACCAGACAAATAGTGGAGAAGAAGGCTGTCTTAAACAGAAAAAACTTCTTATGTGGTCCTGGGTTCTGAGGGCCCAGCTCTTCTCACCCTCCTTCTCCGAGGAGTGGGGGAACGGAAGTGCAGAGCCTTCGTGTTTTACCCTCCTTCTCCGAGGAGTGGGGAACGGAAGTGCAGAGCCTTTATGTTTTGTGACAGTGGAATCCCCTTCGCGGGCCACCTCCTCGATCTGAAAGGCTCTATCTGCAGCTACTGAATTCCCTTCAGCTCGTAAGTCTTAATAGCAATGTCATCCCCTTCTGAAAACTTTCCTGGACTGCTCCTTATCTTGCTGCCGGTGATTGAAAGCAATCCTTTCCTCTCTCTTCCCTCACACCTGCCTGTTTGCATTAAAGTTCTTGAGTTGGACTCCATCAGTCTTTATTTTTTATTTGTTTAATTTATTTTTTAGAGACAGGGTCTCACAATGTCACCCAGGCTGGAGAGCCGTGGCATGATAATGGCTTACTGCAGCCTCATCCTCCTGGCCTCAAGCAATCCTCCTGCCTCAGCCTGCCAAGTAACTAGGACTACAGGTGTGTGCCACCATGCCTGGCTAATTTTATTTTATTTTTTTGAGACAGAGTCTTGCTCTGTAGCCCAGTCTGGAGTGCAATGGCGTCATCTCGGCTCACTGCAAGCTCCGCCTCCTGGGTTCAAGCGATTCTCCTGTCTCAGCCTCCAGAGTAGCTGGGATTACAGGCGTGTGCCACCATGCCCAGCTAATTTTTGTATTTTTAGTAGAGAGGGGGTTTCACCATGTTGGCCAGGCTGGTCTCGAACTCCTGACCTCAGGTGATCTGCCTTCCTCAGCCTCCCAAACTGTTGGGATTACAGGCGTGAGCCGCTGCACCTGGCCTCTGGCTAATTTAAAAAAATTTTTTGGCCAGACACGGTGGCTTCCATCTTTAATACCGGCACTTCAGGAGGCCAAGGCAGGAGATTTGCTTGAGCCCAGTAGTTTGAGACCAGTCTGGGCAACATAAGAAGACCCCCATCTCTACAAAAAAAAAAATAAATAAAAAAAAAAAAAATAAGCCAGGCATGGTGGCGCTCGTCTGTGGTCCCAGCTAATACGGAGGTTAAGGTGCAAGGATTGCATGAGCCTGGGAGGTCAAGGCTGCAGTGAACTCTGATCACATTCCAGCCTGTGACTGTACTCCAGCCTGAGTGACAGAGCAAGACCCTGTCTCAAAATAAATAAATACATACATACATAAATAAATAAGTTTAATTTAAAAATAAATTTATTTCTGTAGAGATGGGTCTCACTCTTTTGCCCAGGCTGGTCTTGAACTCCTGGCCTCAAGTGATTCTCCCAAGTTGACCCCCCAAAGTGCTGGAATTATAGGCATAAGCCACTGCACCCAGCCCATTAGTGTTTATTACTAGACTGTGAGTTCCTGGAGAGCACTGGTATACTCATTTGCTTCTTACTTGCTTCTGCCCAGGCTGGTTTAGTATCCTACTCATAGAAGGTTCTTAGTAACCGCATTTGGTGAATAAATGGAGGAGAGTGGGAAGGCTGTGATCGAATAGGTATCTCTTGTCTCCTCTTTACCCCTTGATAAATTTCACAATCAAGCAAGCTAAAAATGGAGATGTGTGTCTCCACCAGACAAGGTCTGGACCACTCTCTGCCAAGACAGCACGAAGAGCAGGACACTGCCAGCAACCAGGTGGGTTGAGACAGAGTAACCCAAGCTGCTAGCCCGTCAAATCTCTCCAGACTGGGAACAGGATTAGTCCTGGGGCTTGGGTCTAGCATTGAGTCAACAAGCGGAAGTCATGTTGCCCTAGTTATTGGGGAGAGGGCTGTGAGGGCCAGGAACCAGGCAGGTCACTGCATAGTCCATCTTGAATTCAGTGAGGCATTCCATAGGGCCAATGACACAGGAGACATTTGACACCATAGGGTATAATATCAACTCTAGGCAGCCGTCAGGGCCAGTGCCCAGGGGATCAGGGCTGTGTCTTTTTCTTTGTTATTTTTTGTTTGTTTGTTTAGAGCTAGTTTTTAAAAAGTTTAATTGAAAAAGTAATACATGCACATGATCTAAAAATTAAAATGATTCAAAAACGTATACAGTGAACGTTCTGCCTCCCACCATCAACTTCTCAACTCATCTCCTTCCGCAGGTGCAGCCGTCATTAAAAGTTTCTTTTCCCAGAGATGCTACATGCATGCATATGCAATATTTCTATTTTTTCTTATGATGACTTAATGAGGCTGTTGTGAACTGAATACAGTTGCAGGTGTTGATGACATTGTTACAGTTGTTGGCACTCTGGAAAAGGGATATAAGGCCCATTGAACTTGAGAACTAGAAGACTACTCTTGCACATTCTGAATGACATTCAGTAATTAAAAGTGTGGAGTAATAAAATTTGGATATCTCAAATATTACCTGGAAAAAGGCTAGTCTGACTCAAGGGTGGTGGAAAAATGATCTAAGGATGCACGGTTAGTCACAAATGATATAGGAAATGTTAGGCCATTGTAGTAAGTGCCAGTACACTGTCAAGATGGATGGTAAGGAGCATAACTGATAGAGATCTGGAAATTATTTGTTGGGTCGATTCTTGTTAAAGTATTCGTAAATGTCCGACTTGTTGGTTACTGTGTGTACACTGGTAGAGACAAATAAGGTAACTTCTAGTTGAACAGAGGACCAAAATGCACTCATATAATGGCGAAATAAAGGGTGCGTTTAATAAACCAGTTGATGGAACGAGCATCATTCAATCTAGGGAAGAAAAGGCTAAGAGATGACTCACTTATTGAAGTACATGGTAAAGTAACTTGAGTTTCCCCAGGCCTCACCACCTGAGTAGGGATGATCTTCTGAGGGGCACTGTACCCGGAGCCTGCCCGCAGCAAAGGACTCCCAGCTGTCTGGACTGCCTCTGGGTTGTCCTGGGAGTTCCCAGGGGCCTGCTCCTGCCGGGCACCCTCTGGCACCCTGGAGTGAAAGCTCTGGGGAATCTGGGGGGAAAAAAAAGATTATTCAACCCTCTTCCCTCTGTGTGAGCTTTCAGTCCCAAAGCTCTACCATCTGTGCTCTGATTTCCTGAAAGACCTCAGCAAGATGGTCTTTCCCAATTTCCCTTTTGGTCCTGCTGCTCTTCACAGAACTCGGATATGTCTGGCCGAGGGACGCTCAGAATGAACTGCTCTTCCCCTCCAAAGAGCAGGACTGTTTGACTGGGGTAGGGCCTGGCGGGTCTCCTTCCCTACAGAGCGAGTCCCTCCCCACCCCCGGAGGCTTCTTGGCCTTGGTTCACACTGGGACCTAGGTTCCCTCTAATCGTAACTAGCGAGTATTCAGTTGTTTTGAAAAAATATTCTAATCGATTGTTCTATAAGGAAGGTCAACCAAGAGGCCATGGATATAAACAATAACAGGGAAGATTTAGTGAGTGGAAAGGAGGGACGATGTTAAGGAAAGTTACTCCTGTGCCCTGAGGGAAAGTGCACGGTCTTTCTTGAATAGTTTAGAAATAGGTCCTGGAGCTTTTCAAGCTCAGCCCTTGGTATTCTGAGGTGGACTGAGGCGTTCCACCTTGAAAATCAAATAGTAGTGGTCTTTTCCCTAACTCAGGTAATATAATTTTTCCATGTAAATTTTTTCCATGCATGTTCTTCCATTTTAAACCTTTAGCACCTGCAGGCAACAAAACTAATGAAGAAGTAGTAAACAGATATGAATGGGAAAGCTTGAAAACCACCAATCATGCTGAGTTTGTGGCTTTTTTTTTTTTAAAGAACATGTGTGCTTGTGGTTTTATACTGTCTGCTCATAATGCAGCCATATTTTCTGCTATTAAAATTGTTCTTAGTTCATGGGATGGAATGAAGCAGACCATTATTCCAGGGTGTTCCCGGAAGAGCCTCAGGTTTCAGGAAGCACACTTCGACTTTTAGTTCTCCACCACCTGAGTACACTTGAGTGCTGCTGTTGTAGACTCTGGAGTATTCGTTTCCTTTCCTTTCCCTCCTCCCTCTGCTGTTCATATCATGGCCCAGATTGACTCCCAACCTCTGCCAGGCTAAAGATAACCTCTCCAACTGGGCGATTACCCACAGGCTAAATATATTCTCAGGGGTGAGTTGGGGCTACCCTGACAGTGACTCCAGGCAAGCATTTAACCACTCATGGCATTAAGTCATCTTAGGAGATGGAAGGAGCTTGGGAGGGGGGAGGGATTACCACAGAAGGATGGGGAGGGGTAGGAATGAAAGAGGCAGAGAGCGATGGATAGGAAGCTGGCAAAGGCGCTTCCGATAAAGGAGGACACGCTGTGCCACATGGTGACTCCAGCAGAAGCTCAGTCAGTCTGCGGATTTGGCTGCTCCTAGCAAAGACTCCTTTTCTGTCCGTTACAATGTTACTTTAATAGAACTCCCAGAGGGAAAAGCCCAGTGCTAATCAGGGCTCAAGAAGTCAGTGGACTTGATGTACAGAATGGGGTGTTTAATTTTATGATGTGGCTATGGGTTACATGAGAGACTAATAAAAGAACTCCATAAAATGTGGCTTGCAGGAACGGGGCTGCAGCCTCTGCCAGAAGGTCAGCCTGCTCAGAAGTGGTTGGAGAGCCAGGCTGATTTCTAGCTGGTGTGGCCACTCTGGCTCTTCAACTGTTGAAAGCCTTCTGAACCGGTTGGTAACTGGCTGCTGCTCTTAGCTTCTCAAGCACAGCCCTGCTGCACTGGCTGCCCGGCCCCCACCCTGGAACCTCCCCACAATCCAGTAAGCAGATGCAGAGGACCTGCAGATCCTGCTCTGTGTCATGTCTCTGGTGTCACAACATTTCTGAGTGGCTAGTGCTTCTGTATCTCTGGTTAATACTTTAAATATCACCTGTCCTACAATATGTCTTCCTTGGGATTTGTTCCTTCAAATACCTGTGGAGCAGACCAGGACACAGTTCCGTAAAACTCTCCTTAACTGATCCCAGGCCAGTCCAGGGTGCTCCAAGGAGGCTTTCTTGGGTCAGGGAGGCCTGCTGCTCTCATGGTCGCCACAAGGACCCACTCAACCTTTCCCTTGAGTCATAGTTGGCTGCCTCAAAGGAGAGTTTTAATAGGCACAGGAATGACATCAGGGTTGAAGAATATTTTTGGAAGGAAGAGGCAAATTTGCGTAAGATTTCTGAACCAGGAATTGCATCTGTCATAGAGTTTGAATTAGAGGGATGCTCAGAGCACATCTGGTCTCTCTTCATAGCCAGCACGGAACTCCTCCGTATCGCCTCTGACAGGAGATAGCCAGCCCCTTCTAGGCCATGCCCACTGATAGGGAATTCAGCTCTTTGAAAGGAAGCCTCTTGTGTGAACCAGCAGGAGCTGAAATCTTCCTAAACAAATCCTTTTGTGAATCCTTTTGTTGAGCTGAAATCTTCCTATACAACTCAAATTTTGACGCCTCACCTAGATGGAATTGCAAATCCAAAGACGGCCCAAGAGTAAGCAATGACAGCTACTAATGTGTCTGATTTTATCAAGTGAACCGAGAGGCTGTGAGATCATTCATTCAGCCAGTTTCCCGAGTGGCTGCTAAGTGCTGGTGCCTGGTGCTGGAGACTCAGCAGGCACCTGGAAATGGTTCTTCTCTGAGAGACTGTCCAGCCTCTTTAAGCCAGCACTAGACAACTGGGGACACCTGGGAAATCAGAGGGGTCTAACCTTTGCTTCTGGAGCCAGTTCCAGGCTGGGGTCCATCCTTGGGCGGGGGCCGTCCTGGGTGACTCTGGGCAGGAAGCTTCTGTCTGTGCTCCTCCTTTTCTCTACCGGTTACTAACAGCCTGGTGAGCCTGCTGAGAGCGTGGGGCTCTCAAGGTGGGCTCTCATTGACAGACACTGAGACGAAGAGGTGGAGTTGCCATCTCCCTCCTCACACCCTCTGAAAATACCTGTAAGAGTCAAATGACATTTTGTAATGCATTTTGCTGAATTAACAATTGAACAGGCTCTTTTGTCTTTCATAAACAAGAAATATTACACAATTTAGATAAGAAAAAGGCGGACAATAAAAGTATTTATAACTTCATCATCTACAGGTAACAATTTGGTGTTCGTCCATGCCAACATTTTTCTGAGTATATGTGATATATCCGTGTATGTGGGAGATACACACACACACACACACACACGTGCTTTGTAATCTGCCCTTTTCACCCAGTTGTTTTCCCAATGAACACAATTTTAAAGTGAATCTAATTGTTCAAGGATCTGTCATTAATGCACATAACTTTGAATGACTCATCCAAAGAAATCAGATGTGGAGAACAAAGAGTTAAACCATCTCAGAAGTTAAGGAGGCATTCGCCAGGGTGTCTTGGATTTGAGATGTGGAGAACAAAGAGTTAAACCATCTCAGAAGTTAAGGAGGCATTTGCCAGGGACAGTAGATCCAGGGTGTCCTGGATGTCTATGAAAGGGCTGGGGGCGAGATAGAGATTTTCATTACATGGTGCCCTGTCGGCCCTCTACTCAAATCTTGGCCCGGTGAAGAGAGCTGGGGAGGGGATTTCTCCTCTGTAAATCAGTGGGTGGAAAGCTTGGGGATGAGGCTGTAATTGTGGCAGGCCCTGCGCTTGGTTCCTTTAGACTCGTGGACCCATGGAAAGGGCTACCTTGGCATTCATGAATGGGCTTTCCTGGTCTCAGATTGCTGAAGAGAAGCTGAACGTGGGGACGTGGTGGGACTGAGAGGCCTCCTTCCTTCCCGTGCCTTAATTGGGACTGACCCCTTATATCCAGCTACACTAATGGCCCACAGGGGCCATCCCTCCCACCACTCACAGGACTGTGATCACTGAAAGAACCCCCAGAAGCTGGCCTTGAACTTCAAAGAACAGATACAAAAAAACAACTCTGCATCTACAGGGCCTCAGTGGGCAGTGAGAGGGAGAGGAAGCATCCGCCGAACAGCCCTTCATGGAAATCACACTGCTGGAATAGACAGCCAGGGCAGAAGTGCAAGAAGGACATTCAACCACAGTATCCCAAACAAACAAACAAACAAAAACAAAGAAACACAGACTTCCTGGAGCTTTGACTAAAATACTCATTGGATACATTAAAGCAGGCTGAGAAGGCCAAGTGCAAGAATATCCCAAATATAGAACAAAAACACAGAGGTGGAAATCTTAAGGGCAAAAGAGGAGACTAGGAGGCTAGATCCAGGAGACCTAATAGGAGTTGCAAGAGAAAGAGAAAAATGAACACACGAAAGAGAGAATCATTAAATAAATGATAGAAGGTAATTTCTTTGAGTGAAAAAGACTTGGGTCTGAGGTTTAAAAAGAACTCGTGGGGTTCCTGAAAGTCACATACCTAAACCCATCCAAATTAAATTCTTGAATAGCAGGTAAAAAGAGAACCTTTTGCACCCTTTAATACAAAGAGAAAAACATTAATTACCAAGAAACAGAAAAGAGACAGTGTCACACTTCTCACCTATAATAACGGGAAGCTGGAAATAGGGGAATGAGGTCTATAAAATACTTGAGCCAGCTAAAATACCTTTTGCTGGCCAGGGGAAAAAGAAAAGTTACACCCTCCCGAGTAGGTGGGATTACAGGCACGCGCCACAGTGCCTGTCTAATTTTTATATTTTTTTTTTGGTAGAGACGGGGGTCTTGCCATGTTTCCCAGGCTGATCTTGAACTCCTGGACTCAAGCAATCCACCTGCCTAGGCCTCCCAAAGTGCTGGGATTACAGGCATGAGCCATCGCGCCCGGCCTAATTTTTAAAAATCGTATCACTGAGTGGACAAGACAGGGGTGTTGCTGAAAATGTCAGACTCAAATTTGGATAGCAGCAAGAAGAATTTCTTTGAGGGGGGAAGTAGTTGATGAGGGAAGTGTGATTTTGACACTGGTGCCAGTTAAAGATGACCCAAATATGGAACAAATGGAACCAAGTATTTCTTCAACTTCTGATGTCAAACTGGAGAAGCCTAAGAAATATAATCAAGGTCATCACTTCAAACACATGAACAATTTACAGCTCCACAAAAAGCTGGTGCAAAATACCAGCCCTTCCCTTGCCGACCACTTTGCCTCCCATTAATAAGGTGTGTCGGGACACTTAGCGGGACTGGTGTCAACAACTTGGTTTGAGTGCTAATGGCAAGAAAATAGAAGTTTATCTGAGGCTCCGTAGGCGTGCTTTCCCTGAACAACAGCAAGATACGCCTGAAACATCACATAAGACCAGATTACAGCGATGCTCGAGAAAACACAAGGCAGTGACCGAGAGAGCAAGAGGCTTCAGAAAAGTTATGAGATGAATGAAAGAACAGAGAGACTAATATAGTTGAAGTGATAACTTCAGTGCAGGCATCCATGTTGGCATCATGGGCAAGAATTGGTGCAAGAGCTGTTCAGCCAAAGGCTGTAAATTCATGTTCCATTCCTGTTTCTGTTGAGGCCTTTTGGATGCAAACCTCTGATGTCAGGTGGTGTGTGGTCCATGGCAGACGTCTCTCAGCAGACACAAAGAGCTGGGTACACCTGCAGTTTCATGCAGATCAGGCCTGGGTGCCTACCACTCACAGGAGGATGATTTCTCTCTTCTTGTTACCTGCCTGCATTTTCCCATCCCCAGGCATAGAAGATAACATATTATGCCCCAACTGTGCTAAGAGGAATAAGAAGATGATGAGAAGATTAATGACAATGGAGAAGCAGCAGCAACCTCTTTGAATACAATGTACTAGAGAAGGAGGGATGTACTTTCAGACCATGTAACCTATTATGAAGGAAAGGAAGAGGAGACAATTTGAATGAATCTTCATGATATGCAACACAAAATCGTAGTGACTAGGACTCCACAGTGAAGATGGTTGACCAGTGACACAGCCCCATCTGAAGAGCACCTTTCTGTAAGTCTGAAAACTCATTAAAATAAAGTCACTGAAAAGAGAAAAGTATATTATCCAGGTATCCCATCTGAGAAAAATACTCCAGAAAGAACCTTAAGCAAATCAAAAATGAACTGAAATAGGTAACTCAAGATGGGAGATGAAGAGAGAAGTTGGTTGTGGACAAATGGGTCTCTCCTCTCTGTCTCTCTCTCTCTCTGTCTCTCTCCTCTCTCCTCTCCCCTTTCTCCTCTCTCCTCTCTCCTCTCTTTTCTCTCTGTCTCTCTCTGTCTCTCTCCTCTCTCCTCTCCCCTTTCCCCTCTCTCCTCTCTCCTCTCTCTTCTCTTTTCTCTCTCTCTGTCTCTCTCCCTCTCTCTCCCTCTCTCACTCCCTCTCTCTCTAATGCAATTGCAACAGAAGTCCCAGCTGAACCCGGAGGAGCTTTGGAGCTGAAGTTGTTCTGCATTAAGATGAGTCTGGCCTTTTCACTTTTTATCTTGGCCTTGAGGAGTAGTTGCAAGGAGGTTGCCCTAGGGAGGGAAGCAGACCTGGGGTGCGGCAGTTCCCTTCAGCTTAGGGCAATTCCTGGAGAGAGACTCAGCTGTGAGCTGTCTGCAGCTAACATTTGGCAGCTGAAGGGGAAAATACCATGTATGACATGGTGCCTTTTATGTGAAATTATGTATGTATGTATGTACATATGTATATATGTACATATCTGCTGTGGTGTGGTAGGAAATGTTTAACAGTCAGCCCTGGAGGGAGGGGGCGGGTGGCGGGGGAAAGCCCTGATTTGTAGCTTTTGCTGATTTTTGTGGTGTAAAT
Organism: Homo sapiens; assembly: GCF_000001405.40. Taxonomy (NCBI): domain Eukaryota; kingdom Metazoa; phylum Chordata; class Mammalia; order Primates; family Hominidae; genus Homo; species Homo sapiens. The sequence continues at coordinate 193,992,325 of NC_000003.12, read as the reverse complement.
ACTTTTATCATGGCTGATGTCAAACTACCAATGTGATGTCACTGAACGTGGAGCCCGAACACGATGCACACAGTTGCCTCTCATGAGCACACAAGCTGGCTTCAACACACCACTGTATAAGCCTGAGGATATTTAGGGGGAACGTGGGGAAGGGGAGAGGCTTGTGGAACAACAGTCCTGGCATTTGGGCATCCTGTTCAGTAGGAGAGCATGGAGTTTTTTCTCTGTTTTCTCTCCATATGGCTAATTTTCTTTACTGGGGTCAAATTTCTAATCCTCGTCTCTACCGTCCCCTGCCCCTTTCCCCCCTCCACCCCTAAGTTGGTATTCTTCGCAGGCAGTGTTTCAGAAGTCAATTCGAATACTTGTTCATATTGAAGTCCTTGTGGCTATGAAAACAGGAAGAAGCTTCTTGGTAGGTGCTTACGAGGATCCATGTGATAGTGAATGTCAGGGCATGGCAAACTTTATGTAAGGGGCCAACCAGTAAATATTTTTGGCTTTGTGGGACATATGGTCTCTGTTGCAACTGCTAATCTTTTGCAGGACATAGTTTGCTGACTCCTGTTTTAGACGATACCATTGTATCATAAGCCTCTACGTAAGTGTTAATTACGGTTATTTCAAAGGACCCAGAGAAAGAAATCTTTTAACTCTAGAAATTCAGACCAACCACTCAGAGGAGGGATATAGGCTGTGGGGAAGGTTTTTTGATTCAGCTGGCTTTGTGACAGTAGCTGTATGCAGGATTTTTTTAACTTTTATCCAGGATTAAATAAGATGAGAGAAAGAGAACCCCTGGATTAAACAACAACAACAACAAAACCCCTCCAAACCTTAAAAAACCAAAAACCGAATTCTCTGATAAATCCCTTTATGTATTAGGATCTCGTTAATTCAGAATTTAGAAAAATATATTAATACCTGGGAAGGAGGCAGGCACTCACCATAACATTATCTGTAAAGAAAGACATAGTGGGTTGATTAACACAGTAAATCAGGTCAGGCGGGCAGAAGCCTTCATACAGCTAAGAAACTAAACTCTTCGTCATCTTTCTAGCAAGTGAAATATTTGAATGTTAATGTGAAATCCACAAGTTTTTTATTCATAAAAATAGATCATGGTTGGGTACATGGTGTGTGCCTGTAGTCCCAGCTATTTGGGAGCCTGAGGCCAGAGGATCACTTGAGCCTAGGAGTTGGAGGCTGCAGTGTGCTAGGATCATGCCTGTGGATAGCCACTGCACTTCACCCTGGGCGACACCATGAGACTCTGTCTCTTTTTTAAAACAATGGATCATGTAGAACCTTTTTTGTCAATACTTGATGAGTTCCTCCAGGATGTTGGTATAGATACTAAAGCTAGTTACCCAAATATATTTGGGTCAAGTCTCTTCTCCTAGCTTCAGCTTTTCCATCTTTAAATGAGTATTTTAGATTTCTTAGCCAGTGCTGTGGTTTGAATGTGCTCCCTAAATTTCATGTGTTGGAAACATAATCCCCAAATTCTTATGTTGACTAGAAGTAGGGCCTTTGGGCCGGGCTTGGTGGCTCAAGCCTCTAATTCCAGCACTTTGGGAGGCCGAGGCAGGTGGATCACGAGGTTGGGAGATCGAGACCAACCTGGCTAACATGGTGAAACCCTGTCTCTGCTAAAAATACAAAAAATTAGCCAGGCGTGGTAGCAGATGCCTGTAGTCCCAGCTACTCGGGAGGCTGAGGCAGGAGAAGGGTGTGAACCCGGGAGGTGGAGCTTGCAGTGAGCCGAGATTGCACCACTGCACTCCAGTCTGGGCGACAGAGCCAGACTCCATCTCAAAAAAAAAAAAAAAGAAAAAAAGAAAAGAAATAGGGCCTTTGGGAGGTTGTTAGGGTTAGATAAAGTTGTCAGAGTGGGGCCCCCATGATGTGGCTGGTGGCTTTATAAGAAGAAGAAGAGAGGCCTGAGCTGACACAGATAGTCTTTGCCACTCTCCATGTGATGCCTTCTACATAGCACGAAGGCCCTACCAGAGGCCAGCACCATGCTTTTGGACTTCCCAGCCTCCAGAATTGTAAGAAATAAATTTCTTTTATTTATAAGCGACCCAGTCTCAGGTATTCAATGATAGCAACAGAAAATAAATGAATACAACCTTATGAATTTTTGTAAAATTCTCTAAAAATATTAAGCCCACTTACTAGAATATGCCCTGTCTTCTGACCACTTCTTGCCTTGTTGTTGCACAGGGTTGACTATATAAGAGGCCAATTCCATTTTGGCTTCCAATTGTCTTAGGATATATATGTGTCTGTGTGTGTGTATATTTATATTTTGGCAATAAGAGAGTTGTTTTCTAATAGAAAGTTCTTGCTTCATCATTATCTACAAGGTTTGCTTATAAAAATCCTTGCAGATTACATGAAAACCTCCACTAATCACTGAGTATCATATTTTTTTTGTAGCTTTCAATAAATACTTGTTGATTTTCCCCTAGAGATCCAGAAGCTCAGAGTAGACTTTGGTGTCCAGACAAACCCACTCAGGTTATGTTGCAGTTCTCTGTCAATAACTCTTAATCTTTTCTGTCTCACAGATTTCTATGGAAATTTGGTGGAAGTAAAGGGGAATTGACTAAGGACCATTAATATATGTATGGAGTGAATTCTGATCACTCCTTTTGAAAATCCTTAACTACCACGTTTTTATATTTTACTTGTGTTATTATCTGACACCCCAAAATGCTGAAGTACACAGTGACCTCAAAACAAGAGAGATGTGCACAGGATTGGACGGGTTCATTTGTTTATTTTAATGTAAAAAGGAGGAGATAGGCAACATTTTTTGAGAAGAGTAGTTTTCCAGGATGGTATCACAGCTTAATCTTGCATTAGGGGAAAAGCACTAGACTAAACTGAAGCTTTGGTTTTTATCACTAGACAGTTGTGAGTTTAAACTTCCCTTTCACTCCAGTCAGCCTCCATTTTCTTACTGTAAACTGAGAAGACTACATGGGATGGTAGGAGATTAAGCAAGAGGCTGTATCTGGAAGTGCTGGCTACATGTAAAGTGTGGCATCCATGAGGGGGATTCAGTAAGACTAGCTCCTCAGAATCCACCACAGTCAGCACTCAGATGAAATCATGACCAAGGGATGGACATGCAGAGGCCATTTTTCTTGCCTTGAACAGCAAATGCTACTTGCTGTGTGGCCCAACAGTCCTGTGCCTCCATTTGTTTCTTGCTGCTGCAGCAAAAAGATAAACATTTAGGGAGGCTCTAACATGGCTTGAAATGAGCACATAGACACTACCATGCCAATGAAGTCACAGTAAGTATCTCTGGTCTGCCCATGAGAAATACCTATGTCTACCATAGATCCTCTCCTCCCCTCTCCTCCACACATGCACACAGTTAGCCTCTCCTTTAAGCTCCAATGAAAGTACCAGCCACTCTATGGACCCTTCCCTGAACTGTGTTCTTTTCTCTCCTCCAGGACATAGGATTCTTGTCCGTCATATTGTAGTAGCATTTACTGCTTATTTTGTTCATCTGTTACTGAAATTGGTTTATTGTGTACCTACTATGTTCAAGGCTCTGTGCAGATCATAATTATATATAGCCTTGGAGTTATATATTACCTGGAGAGGGACTCAGCTGTGAGCTGCCAGCAGCCAACATTCAGCAGCTGAACGGGGAAGTTACGGTAGGTCAGGTCGGCCCCGCCAGCAGCCTCCACAACAGACTCCGACAACTCCCTTAAGATGAGTATTAGCATCGTTTATCTCTGTATGTGTTACACCCCTTGAGGTCTGGGATTGCTTATGGTACGCGCATTCTTCACATTGTCCAGCATGCAGAGTGGACTGCTAAGTGTCCAGCCGTAAGTCACCCTACCACCTGCTAGAATGCTGGGATAACATGGTAGTGAGTAGAGCACATAATGATAAAAGCTATATATGCCCAATTTCAAAAGTTTGGAAATACAGACAAGTACAAATTTACCTATAATTTCACCCTCCAGAGATGACATCTGCTGATTTTTTAGTATATTTCATTTTAACCTTCTTTTATCTATGCCTTTATTTACCTAATTTGGAATAGTCTGCTTGCAACGTTTTATACCCCATTTTCCCATACCGTTACAAATTTTGAAAACTTAATTTAAATGTCTATATAATATTCTATCATATTGATGAACCATCCTTTATTTGCCAATTTCCTTATTAGACATTTAGGTTGTGGTCAATTTTTTCACTATTATAAACATTACTGTAATGAGGATTTTTTATAGTTATGTCTACATGTCACCATGCTTATGTATCTGATTATTTTTCTTTGATGTATTGGAAGAATTTAAATTACTATCCAAAGGGTATAAAATGTCTAAAATTATTGCCAAATTGCTGTCAGAAAGGTTTATCCTTTCTAGTCTTGTCAGCAGAGAATGCTGGATTTGTCATACCTACACTAACATTAATTGTATTTTTCAATATTTACAAATTCAACTAGAGTGTATGGAGCTCTGGTTTTACTTTTACAGATGTCTTTGATCATTAGTGAACTTAAACATTTTAATATATTTACTGGCAACTTTTTATTCCTTTTTCTCTGAATTATCTGTTTACGTTTTTAACCATTTAAAAATGGAAGTGTTGGTATTTTTTCTATTGTGGGCTCCAGAGGCACTGCTAAAGGTTTTAAAAACCATTCTAAGTCACCTGCATGCCTTTTGATGCCACACCATCCATGGCCACCTTAGAAGAAAGATTAGTCCCAGAGGTAAAAGGCAGTTTCTTCAACTACAGCCTTGGTTATGTTGGGTTATTGTGCCATTTGTTCCTTTGATAAAGAGTGCACAAGGAAATGTGAGTGCCGTTTTTTTTTTTCTTTCTTTTTTTTCCTGCAGCACGCTTGCTTTCCATTAAGCGGATCCTTTGTGCTGAAACAGATTTGCAGTCCTGCCAAACCAGACGATGCTGCTGGCAGGAAGATGCACATGGTCTGATGTTAATGCAAGAGTGAGAAAACCTCTGTGGCACAGTCATGGGAGGTCAGCCCAAATGTAGAGTTTCCTTCCTTCCTTCCTTCCTCCCTCCCTCCCTCCCTCCCTCCCTTTTTTTACTTTCTGTAATTCTAAAGTGGCAGGAACGACTTGACTCTTTAGACCATATATTTTTTTCAGAAATACATTTCTGAAAATATATTCTCTGTTTTGTATGTTTTCTCTGTTTTGTCTCTGTTTTGTATGTTTTTCCTGGGTACTACAGATTTCTAAAAACATTGAAAGAGTAAAGCCTTTTTTGGAAGTCCATTCATAAGATGTCCAAGAAGAATTCATCACAGAAACTTCAACCTATTTTTTTTAAAAAGTAGACTCCAACAACTCCCTTCAGATGGGTATTATCTTGATTTTACAGATGAAGCTTAGAAGAGTTAAGCAATTTGCTCAGGGTCAATAGCCAGCAAAGCAACAGCATCAAAACTTAGATCCAGTTTTGCTGATGCCAAAATGCATGCTCCATTCTATACCATTCAACTAACCTAGCTGTAGCCCCTAATTATGTGAGATCAGAAAGCTCTAGTTACAGTCTTTCATTTTTATTTATTATTTATTTATTTATTTATTTATTTATTTGCACTCTGTCGGTCAAGCTAGAGTGCAAAGCGCGATCTCTGCTCACTGCAACCTCCACCTCCTGGGTTCAAGCTATTCTCCCTGCCTCAGCCTCCTGAGTAGCTGGGATTACGGGCACCACCACCACGCCTGGCTAATGTTTGTATTTTTAGTAGAGACAGGGTTTCACTATGTTGACTAGGCTGGTCTCGGACTCCTGATCTCAGGTGATCTGCCTGCCTTGGCCTTCCAAAGTGCAGGGATTACAGGTGTGAGCCACTGCCCCCGGCCTCTAGTTACAGTCTTTAACTGTGTGTGATTGGAAAGTCCATAGTGGATCCATGAGGCAGGCCCTGCAGGGAACAGGACATCACTGTGGAACATTTGCCGCAGTATTAGACCATAAGGCTCGGAGAGTCCTCAAATTGCTGCATGAAAGAGAATTCTTAATGGAGGACAGGGCAACCATATTCCTGGAAAAATGGCAAAGGAGAAATTGGACACATTGGAGTAAAAAAATACAAAGAAGATGGTTAATGACTTCCTCAAAGACTTTAGGAACTCCCCCTGTGGTGGGTCAGTTTCAGAGTCATTGCAAAAGGCTGTGGAGTTTCTAGGGCTACAGAGGGCGAAGAGTGGGTCCCGGCAAGATGGAAGTGAACTGCGAGAGGCTCTACTACAGTATAGAAATAGGATCTCAAGGCTGGGCGTGGTGGCTCACGCGTGTAATCCCAGCACTTTGGGAGGCTGAGGCGGGTGGATCACGAGGTCAGGAGATCGAGACCATCCTATCCTGGCTAACACGGTGAAACCCTGTCTCTACTAAAAAATGCAAAAAAATTAGCCGGGGGTGGTGTTGGGCGTCTGTAGTCCCAGCTACTCTGGAGGCTGAGGCAGGAGAATGGCGTGGAGGCAGGAGAATGGCGTGAAGCCAGGAGGTGGGGCTTGCAATGAGCCGAGATCGCGCCACTGCACTCCAGCCTGGGCGACAGAGCCAGACTCCGTCTCAAAAATAAAAATAAAAAAGAAATAGGATCTCAAGAACCAAGAGGATGAGCCTCACGCATGGAGGGGCTTGAACAGGAGAAAGACATGCCAGTGGATTGCCAGGGAATGGGCATGCCTTGGTTTCAGATGCCAACCCCTCTCAGGTGCATGGTGAATTGTCCCTGTTAACTGAGTGCCCTATTGTAACTGCAAACAGTGCTCTCAGGAACATGGGCTTGGCTGAGGGGACAGAGTGCTTTCTGGTTTGGTGGAATCTATTCTTTTAAGTCAGTGGCTTTCTTACTTTTTTGGATCATGACTCACAGTGAGGAGTATCTTTTCTATTACAAACCAGTGACCCAAACACATATAGATAGTCCCCAACTCACAGTGGTTCCATATGTGATGTTTCAACTTTAAAATGGCGCGAAAGTGATATGCATTCAGTATGGTCCTTAGGTTACGTCTGGATGAACCCATCGTAAGTTGAGGAGCATCTGTATAAGACTGAAGGAGAATTTCGTGGTACGATATTTACCCTTTTACTATGCAAGATGTACTCAAAGATTTCCTCTCCTCTTCCATTCATTTAAGCCAAATTGCTGGCCCTCTTGCTAAATTGATTTCTCAATCCATTAATGGGTCATGGCTTACTGAGTGAAAAATCCCTGTTTCGAGTTGCACCATGTATGTACAAGTGGAAGTAGTCACTTGGGCCCCTTGGAGACACAATCAACAGCATAGAAGTTGCATATAGAATATTTTTTCTTCTTAGGGAGAAGAGACTAAAAAGTAGACACGTTAATTCTAGTTAACCTCTGCCCCTTTAGCCTTCAAATAACTTCCCCTGCAGTGGATTTCGTATTGTCCAAAATGTGGTTCTGTAAGGCCAGGATTGGAAGCCCGTTTCGAATATGTGCAGAATTTCTTGAATACCGCTCTATGCTCAGTCTTGCCGAGATAGGGTGTCATCCCTCACGAGCTTCCCAGGACCCCTTGGCTGTGCACACAAAGAGAACCAGGCTTTTCTTGTTTGGGCCTTTGCTCCTTCCTATTTGATTGAATTTGAAGAGGAACTGTTTGCCTTCGGCCACACATCCTGAATCATAATCAGGATGCTGCTGGCACAGAAAACCTGCTCCCACCCTTGCCTGAAATAACTGAACAGGGAAGTAGAGTTCCTCCCCTCTCCAACCTTAAAGAGAGAGGCTCATAATTTATTGTGTGCTGGCAATACATCAAAAGTCAATTCAGTCACTTACAGTAAAATTAAGGAGGGCAGAACAATGAATACAGAGTGGGGTTAAAACACCTGATTAAAAGGAACAAATTGTTCAGTTGACACCTATTCTGGTGTCATATTTGTTAGCCAGAGTCCAGTGGCCTTTGGAGGTGCTTCCCTGGCTGTGGGATATGAAAAAGGCATAAAGCCACTCTCAGCTGTTTCAGTTTTTCAATTCAGCACACACGCTTTGCTCCAACAGTGTATCAGGGACCCCGTGACTAGGGGATATTAGTTCTCTAGGACTGTGCTGCTGCCACAAATTACTATAAACTTGGTGACTTAAAACAACAAAAATGTATTTGCTTTCAGTTCTGGAGACCAGAAATCTGAACTCAAGGTGTTGGCAGGGCCACATTCCCTCTGAAGGCTCTGGAGGAGAAGCCTTCTGTTGGTTCCAGCTTCTGGCAGCCCCAGGCATCCCTTGGCTTATGACTGCGTCACCTCAATAGCTGCCTCCTTCTTCACAGGGTGTTTTCCTTCTCTTTGAATGTCTCTTTGTGTGTCTCTTAGCAGATATTTAGCACTGGATTTAGAGCCCACCTGGATAATGAAGGCTGATCTTACCTGGAGATCCTTAACCTTATTATCATGTGCTCCTAAGAATAAAGATCTTTGTCATAATAACAAGCAAATTACACCCAAGAATATTAACAGTAATTCGATAGAATCTATTACCAAGACTCGTTTTACTCTAACAAACAATCACAGAGAAGGGTGATGCTATGATTGATGTTACGGTGTCTACAATTTTCAAATGTTTTAGCAGAAATATAAATAGAGAAGCCTATGATCACAAAAGTGTGAAGAATTGTTAAGTCTAGGTGGAAGTTATATGGATGTTCATTGTTCTATTCTTTTGACTCTCTTTAATGCTTGAAATTACTCATAATTAAAAACTTGGGGGAGGGTGGGGAAAGAAAATTCTTGAAGCAAACTTTCTTGACCTATCTCTCATAGGCTCTACAGGGGGTGGGGTGGAGGGGTTTCAGGGACCAGGAAGCTTCCAAATTTATATTTGAGCTTTTGTGGTGCCCACATGCAAGCGTGTGTGTGTGTGTGTGTGTGTGTGTGTGTGTGTGTTTCGTTTTCTGGGGGAAAAGTTGATTGTAGCATTGTTCAGTACAGTGAATAAGAGCATGGAATTCAGACAAACCTTGTTTAGGGTCTTGAGTTTGCCTCTTACTAGCATTATGACATTGACAAACTTGTTGAATGCCTTGAACCGATTTTCTCATCTGTGAAGTGGGGATAGTAACAGTTCCCATTTCATTGGGATATTGAAAGGAATAAGTAAAAATATACCTTTAATAATAGCTAGCATTTTTCAAGGGCTTTCTGCATTTAGAGCACTGTTTAAAGCGCTTTTAGATGTGACTATCTTATTGAATTCTTGTAACTCTGTGAGCTAGGCCCTAGTATCACCATTTTGCATATACGAGAACTGAGGCACAGAGAAGTTGAGTAACTTGCCCAAGGTCATACCGCTATTAAATACAAGAACTGGGATTTGAACTGAGCAAGCCAAATCCTCTCCCTAGTATCTTTACATCCCACTTTGCACAGTGTCTTGCCCGTGGTGAGCCCGTCGGTGAATGTTTGTGTGACGGCATGTAGGAAATCCCTGGTAAACACTGAATGACATCAGGAATTTCTTTGCAGGTTGTTAGTTAGAAGGGTGCTAAATGTGTTCCTGTTGTGGATGACAAAATGTGCTTGTTTAGAAAAGAGGCATATTTTATGAGGCTGATGTCCAGTCCTTTGAAATAATAGCTTTAAAGCTCAAGTTTGAATAAGCTAGTGGAAAAAGGGTTAGTCTAGTGAAGACTTCTGCTCCCGTTCCAATCAGCTGCTGAGGTTGGGCTGCAGCCAGACTGATGACTCTTCTTCCATATGCAAGAGGGTGAAGCACTAGGGTGTTACCAGGAATTGAGACCTGGACGGGCTGCAGGACTGGGCACCCAGCCGAGTCACACCCAAGCGGTGGGCGCTTGCCAGCTTCGGGCCTAGGCTGTTGCCCCTGAGAGACTGGGCAGGGCCGGCAGCTCTTTGCTTGCTGATTCTCTCATCTCCCAGAGCAACAGCCTGGTGCAGACTGTGGTCATCCGTGGGAATGTTCCTCCTGCATCGGCGGGACCTGCATTGCCCCAGTGTGTGGCCACGTGCTCCTCTGGGCTCATACAGATGTCTGTACTCAGAGGACGCCACTGTGCCATCGTGAGTTCAGGGCTGAAGTGCAGGACAGGGGCTGCTTGCTTTGAGTCTCAACTTTTGGGGCCCTTCACTGGGCTCTTGCTGAATGCATAAAGTATTTAAGGTGGGTGCATTTTAAGGCTGTTAGTGTGTCAATACTGATAGAAAGAGATTAGAGACTTTGGTTCTAAAATAAACTCTTTCTCTGATTTGTTATACAAATTTGTGGAATTCATGTTTTCTCCTCTCCAGGCCTCAACTTCCTCATCTGGAAAATTAACATTACTCCAGTCCTATCCATATCACTGGATTATGCCGAGAACCAAATGAGATGATCAGTGTAAAAATGGTCAGTAAACTTCAAGACACTACACAGAAGCAAGCAGCCATTTTTTTCATGCAGCTGGGTCTTAACAGCCCTGGCTCCTTCCAGCTGCTCCCCTGTGGGGAGACTCTGTCCATGGCCAGCCTTGAAGGGCTGGGATTGGATTTGCTTCAAAGAGGTGGCTGGATTCCTGACCTGAGGTGCCCTCAGGGGTCTCTAAGAGGAAGGAGGAGCCCAGGAGCAGGTGTTGGAGGCTCAGGGATTCAGCCCCTTTGACCAGGCTGAGAGCCTCCCTCCGTTTCCAGCCTGGGTGGGTTGGGATCTCATTTTGTTAGGTGGGAACTAAATGTTTCCTGACTCAGCGCCTGTCAGTGTTCCGTGCTATGCTTTGTGAACTCTCTTTCTTTGGCCGTGCTTACTAGGGGTGAGGGGCACCCTTGGGAGGTGAACAGTACAACTGTATACAGAACTGAAGATGGGGTAGAGGCCCTGATAAGGCTCCGTCTCAGCACAGGAAGGACCAAAGTGGAGAGGAAGGAAGGAGGGAAGGGTGACACTGGCCGAGTGGCAGCCACAAGGGACTTTGATATCCTCACCATGGATTTTTGTCAGGAACAAAACAAACTTTTCAGACGAATTTTTTGGTGGGGGGCAGATAAGGGGTAGCTAAGGAGTTGCTTTCCATGTGACTAAACATTGTAGCAAGGGTCTAGCACTCTTTTGTGTGTGTGTGTGTGTGTGTGTGTGTGCATGGAGACACAGCTGCTGTTGCACCAGAACAGTCTTCTGATAGCTACAGAGTGGTGGAGGGAGGGAGGCCTGGCCCAGGAGTTCCCCACTCTGTTCCAACCTGAGCATGTCCCCAGGACACTGGCCAGGAGAGTGGCGGACTGGAACTCATGTCACAGAAAGTAAAGGGACTGAGGGATGTTTAGCTTGGGACATTAGACTTCAGGTACCCGAGGGAGTCTCGAGGGAAAGGTACACTTCCCACCCCCAACTCTTCCTGCTCTTCTGCTATTCTCCAGGGAAGAGTTTGGCTCAATATGGGAGAGAGCTTTCTTATACGTCAACACACCTGAGAGTGCTGAGGCAGAAACTGGCTAGGAAGGAGCCCGTGAGGAGGGGATTCCGGGACAGACGGGGGTTGGCCTGGATGATCTCCCTCCAGGTCCAGAGGCTGCCATGTCAAAGGAAGATTCTGCAGGGTTACGGTGAATTCCTACCTGATGTTCCCACAGCTGCACCGCCAGAGCATCCTCCACCATGGAAATACCCTTTAGGACTGTTGTGCTGGATCTTTCCCCACCGCGATAAGCCTTCGAGGTGCTGTAAGGACCTCCCGCCCTCTTGTTTTGCTGGGAGGGGAGGATAGCCCACATCTGTCATTCTGGTTTCTGACTGGCCCTTTTTTTCATGTTTCCTATTCCTTCCTTATCCTCAACTTGTTGCTCTTGGCACAAGAGTTTGTGTGGATTTGTTCATAACAATTACCCTCCGCCTTGAGACGCATGTGGAATGTTTTAGGGATATTTTTGTAAATCTTGGGCCATATTTTTTATGGCTGGAAATTAACCAGGGAACTGCAAACATACAGGGTTGCTTATTCAGCTTTACATCCTGAAGACAAGCTGCCTCCCTGCCTCCTACTTTCGTACCCTAGCTCTTTGGACCATATGTACTTCCTTGGACTGGGTCCTTCCTTCCTGACATGGATATCATGGTTACTTGCAGCCCTGAGTAAGTAACCAAGACTATTGCTAAGTCTTCTGGTCCTCTTCTGACTTCCTAGACGCAGTCATTCTCCTTGATTTTCTTTTTCTTACTTCAGTCCTTGCCTCTTCCCGTTCCACGTATTTACTCCTTCTTAGAAATCCCTACTCTTGGAGCTGAAGGTAACTGCCCATCCCAGTGTTTACACCTTCTCCATGACAGACTCATGTGGATTATGGATATTGAGGGGAGTGGGCTTTAGGTCCCTTTAAAGTGTCTTAGTTCTTTTAATTTCCCAAGTTCTTTTGGGAAATGAGTTGACAGGATGATACATTCCAACAAGCATTGTTTTTCTCAAACATGATTGTAAAGCCCTGGTCCATTTCCACATTTTACTCATTTTGATCATTCTTTTTTTTTTTTTCCCTTTAGATGGAGTTTTGCTCTTGTTTCCCAGGCTGGAGTGCAGTGGCACGATCTTGGCTCACTGCAACCTCTGCCTCCCGGGTTCAAGCAACTCTCCTGCCTCAGCCTCCTGAGTAACTGGGATTACAGGTGCCTGCCATCACGCCCAGCTGATTTTTGTATTTTTAGTAGAGTTGGGGTTTCACCATGTTGGCCAGGCTGGTCTCAAACTCCTGACCTCAGGTGATCCGCCCGCCTCGGCCTCCCAAAGTGCTGGGATTACAGTCGTGAGCCACCACGCCCAGCCTGATCATTCTTTTCAGACTCCAACATAAAGTCATTTTTCTGGTTCCTCTTATTTCAAATTTAAAATGCTAATGCCTGAGGAAAACTGTTTGAATCTTGCATGCGATCCTACAAGGTTCTGTGTGTTAGTCCACGCCTCCACGTTAACTGAGCAGTGACTACCCGAAAGGCACTGGGGTGGACATCGAGGACAAAGCAGTCAATCTGACAGCTTCTTGCACTCAGGTGCTCAGAGTCAAGGAAGGTGACGCCGGCCCACCGAGGCTTGGATTCGGCTTATGTGGAGGAGGGGCAGGGGTGGTGGTGAAGTCTTCTTAGCTAAGACCGTGAAATCTCAGGTGGGTCTTAAAGTACACGATTTAGACTTTGTTAGGGAGACAAGGCTATTATGGGCAAAGGAACACTGTTGGGAAAAGCAAGGGATTATAAGAATAATGCTGTGTTTAGAGATCAAAGAGCAGCTGGGGGTAAGTGAATGTAGTAGAGGGGGTAGGAGCAGAGAGAGGAGGAGCGATTGGGAAGTCGCCTCTGTCATAAGGAGCCTTGGGCATCATGTGCAGAAGTGTGGACCTTGTTGATGAAAATCAGTGATCTCTGCAAACCCCTCACTTCACCATGACCTTTCTGTAGGGCTTCCCTGCCCACTGATGGATTCATCATCTCATTGTGCGATGCTCTGAAAGACCTGCATAAGTTTGTGTTTTGGAAAAATCCTTCAGGCTGCAACTTGGAGAACAAACAGAAACAGCAATAGGCCAGTCACAAGGAAATGCACTCAGACAATTTTGCAATAATCCGGTTGAGAACTGTGTCTATGAAACCAGCTGCATCTGTCTCATAGAGTGCATGTCGGTACTGCCCTGCCACAGCCTGTGACGTGGAGCTTCACCTGGAGCCCAGACAACCTCTGCCTTGACTCCTGGTCTTTGTGGTCACTCATCACCACCCTTATCAGAACTCATGTTGTTTAGAGAGGCCTTGACTGCAATTTTATCGCCCAGATGGTCTGGAGCATTCCCTTCGGTACACACATGCCAGAGAAATGGCAGGATATATGAAGTATGGCCTCAGGTCACCGGTGGATGAAATGCTTAGAGGGAAACAGGTTCTCTGTGTCTCAGCTGAGTTCGGGTCAGGCTTACCATTTCTGGATGTCAAATGCGGTCCTTATTGCCATCCTTGTGTGATGGGATGGATCAGTGGGGCTAGGGAGGCCTGCCTGTGTTAATGTGAACACAAAGGCTTCCTGTTCATGGCGTGGGATGGCTTCGGACATGTTTCTGCAGGTTTTTTGGCTGTACCTTGGTAGGTTCCTATATTACCTCACCCAGCCGAACATCTGCTGGTGCCATCCTGAGGGGTGCTAGAAGCTCCCGTGTACTCTGCAGGCTTCTACCTCCGAGAGACCAAGACCTGCCTCTGGACTTTGCCTCCAAAGGTTTAAAGCAGTTTTTGCCTGCATGTCCTAGACGTTCAGTAGAAAAAGATCTCCTCGTGCTCCAGCACCTTTGGGGAAACCAGAGGCTCCACAATGCTCAGCAGTTTAATTTACTGCAGGTCTTCTCAACATCTTTAATTCACAATATATATTGTGAATCTGCAAGAAGGGGTAAGAGGGTGAATAGTCCATTTCCCACACCCATTTGACCACGGAACTTCCTCCACTTCTGGCCTTGGTAGAGGCTCCTCCCCTGGGGAAGAGGAAGCACAGCTAAGGGCCCAGCCTCGCCTGGAGGAGATGCTGAAGGGCAGCCAAGCTTGGTCTCCTAGACTTTAGGGGTAGGCGGGTGGTTCGGGATAAGGATCAGCAATGTCTGGATTTGCCTAGGGCAGTCCGAGCTCACACAGGTTGCCCCAGTATAATTATAATAAACTCCCTCTTTTTTCTCTCCAAAGGGTCCTGGTTTGGGGCATCAATTCTATGATCCTGGCCATAGTCACCGCAGACCTAGGGTCCCGCCACTTGGCATTTTGAAGCCCAAAGAGCAGCTCATTGTTAGACTCTGCCCCTGCCCATAACATAGTCTGATGTCATCCTTTAACTCACCACTTGCTCCCTGACAACCTCTGATATTTGTCACTGGGTCCCAGATTCTTTCCCCTTTATTCAGCCACCATATTCAGCCTGGCAAAATGCCTCACCTTTTCAAAAATAATTCTGCAAGGGGTTGGCAGGAAATCGGTGCCCCTAAGACCCACAAACCTTTTGCGGTAGGTGTCTCTTCACAATGCCTCAAGTCACAGCTTTTCTGGGCCTCCTCAGTGTGTGAACTTTTGGAGGCCTGTTGCCGAATTGTTTGCCTGCATCATTCTTTCTCCTTGTTCTCTTGTCTCTTTTTATTCCTGCTACCGAAACAGCCACCTTCCTGCTGTCAGATGCTCCGAAGGAATTTGTGTTGGAAAATATCAGGAAACCATCCTGATTTAGGGGATGAGAGAAATAAAAGAGGAAAAAGGCCAGCTGGGTGTGGTGGCTCACACCTGTAATCCCAGAACTTTGGGAGGCTGAGGCAGGTGGATCACCTGAGGTCAGGAGTTTGAGACCAGCCTGACCAACATGGTGAAACCCTGTCTCTACTAAAAATACAAAAATTAACTGGGCATGGTGGTGGGCACCTGTAATCCCAGCTACTCGGGAGGCTGAGGCAGGAGAATTGCTTGAACCCGGGAGGCAGAGGTTGCAGTGAGCCAAGATCAGCCATTGCACTCCAGCCTAGGCAACAAGAGTTAAACTCCGTCTCAAAAAAAAAAAAAAAAAAGAAAAGAAAAGAAAAGAAAAGGGCCAAGCAGGCAAGAAACCAATAGATGGTAAATTAGGGAGATCACAGAATCCACTGAGAAAAATAAGAGAATTACAAATTTAAAAAAAATTTCAAAGGGGTAAGTAATAGCCTATTGAATTTGACTTCAACTATTGTTCACTTTTTTAAAAGTACTTCTGTTGGTAAATTAACTTTCAAAATGTCCGTGGTTGGCTTTCCAAAATTCTTCAGTTGGAAACTCAAAGTAGAAAGAAGATTCATTGAAGAAATGCTTTTCTTTTTATTTGACACGAGTAAATGGTGAGAATTATCTTCAATATTTGCAAAAGCCTCAAAAAATCACCAGTGAAAAACACAAAAGGAAACTAGTATCAAGTATTTAGGATCTCTTTTTTATTATAGACTGTTTTGGATGTAAATCCTACACACCCAAGTCTTACCTGGTTTTAAATGTCCCCGGCAATAGAGTTGCCACATTTTCTTCACGGATATTTTGTTTAATGTTCTTAAGTATGTCCAGGACAGACTCCTAACTCCCTCTTTCTCTCCAAACAAACAAAAAAGAAACTATTTTGTCTTTTAAATTTAATCTACTAAAAAATTACTCAAGCTCTAAATCTTAAAAAGTAACTGTCCCTTTTAAGAACCATTTTGTACTTTTTTCCACCCCTCCTCAGCTGTATAGCTTTGCTTTGCCTTCTTTAGAGGATGTGGAAGAAGTATTTTTTCCTCTTGATTCTTTTGAAAGTATGGGTTTGTTTGGCTTTAATACTGTCATTTAGGCGTTTCTTATATGTATGTGTTTATGGTAGTTTCAAATTGTCCTTCAAACTATAATTTTCAGCTCATTCACCTGTTGTAGAGTCTTCACGATGATTTTTCTCTGACCAAACTAAATAAGAATCAGACCAGAACCCAAGCTCAACAAATCCAAGACAACTGAGCACATTGGCTAGTTTCATTATCTATGCGTCCCTCTGGTTCTCAGAAGATAACTGACTAAAGTTTCTTTCCTACTGTTTCTTTTTTTAAAAAAATATACCTATGCACATCAACGAATATCAGTATTTCAAGTTTTGTTTCAAAAGATGCTTCAACTCCATTATGTAAATCATGACTTAAAAATGTAAAAGAAATATTTGTACATAGACATTCAAATCAAACCCTGATTCCACAAGCTCCTCCTTATTTTGTTGACTTTATTTTTAAGAGGGAAGGCCATTTAATTAAAAAAATTCTCCTTTACTTTCCTTGTTTCCCTGCTCCCTTCCCCCACCCCTCCGATTGTCTCCTAGGACCAGGAAGTTTATATGTAAACAGAAGCCGTAATCAGACCCCTGACCTCCTCCGGGCTTTCAACCCAATGTTTCCACAGAGGGATTAACCCCAAATACCAACTTGCTCTCAGAGGCAAAATTGTTCCCCAGGCGGGTATCTCCAAAGGTTTTTCTTCTCTCTAGGCTTTCTCATTCACCCTGCAAATAAGTCTCCTCAAAGGGAGGCTTAAAGGCAGCCGCTGGAAAGCAAATTGCCGGGCAGGCTGGAGCCAGAACGAGGCTGAGAATTCTCTGGACCCTCAAGGCCCTTACTCCATCCTCCCCGAGTTGGCCGAGTGGTTGTGTTGCCTTCCAGATGCATGGGTGCTATGGGAAAGAGCCAGGTTGCTGGGTGTGTGTGTGTGTGTGTATGCACGCACGTGCACACCTGCTTTTGGGTTTACACACTGGGAGTCTCATGGACGGCTGGGCCTCATCTGGGCTGCCTGGGCATCTCAGGGATGCTGGCAGGGAGGGGCTTTGGGAGTGGATAGGTATTCGTGTTCCCCTCTCAGGGGAGACAGGAGCAATAGCACTGGCCTGTTGTACAAAACCACAGCTGTGCGCCTACAAGGCAAATGTTTGCAAGTCTTTCTGTTTTATTCTTCGCTGCAGGTCTTGTAATGTCCACTCAGGAGGGAATGCTTTGAACCGGGCATCAAGCTCTGGGCCGGATTCCAAGTCAGTCTAAAAACAGTCTGAGCTCCCCGCTCCCCCGACGCCCGGACAACCCCGGTCCCCTACTTGCTGGGCAGAATGGATAAAAAAGTGGGTTCTCCCTTCTGCCTGCCCCTCCCTCCTGTCGGGTCCTCACACTGCCTGAACAGCCCTGTGCTAAGCCAAGGCACGGACCAGACCAGGAGATTTTCTTATGGCAGAACATCTTCTCCCCATCTGGACCCCAGTGCTTTCTCACCAGAGAGACAAAGTATTCATATTTTAAAGGCTCCACGTAGCATGTCCAGAAATTTCCCATGTTCTTCAGCAGGGTAGGGGTGGGGAAAGGGCCCAATGAGGCTACGGACTTAATAGCTCCTAACAGCTGTGGAAAGTTTGATGCAGCAGGAGCACCCAGACAGAAAATTAAAAAACTAATAAAGTCCTCAGTGTGGGGGCGCTGGCATCAGGACAGCTTTACTTCTCCAGACACCTAATAAAGAGACATTCCGGGACACTAACTCATAAGGGAAATCCGCAGGGGTCACCGAGAACAGTGGAGAGCAAACCATGGAAACACAGCAGTCACTCACATCACTGCAGGGAAGTTTCGTTTGCTTCTCCTCTTTTTTCCCCCTTTTCTTCAGTTTAGAAAAATGGCAGGGTGCTCAGGACCCAAAGAAATACCACAAAAAGGGGTGATTCCAGAAGTCCTGGATGTAGAAACCTCACGTTCATGGGCAGAATAAGCGTGAGGCTGATGTTTGACACTTCCGGTGATGGTGGCTGCAGAGGGCATTGAGATGGGAAGGTGGTTTGGCTTCAGGAGGTAGCAGAAAAAGGGGGTTTTGAGAATTGAGGTTTATCCACCTGGATTTTGTGAAGTACCATCCTTACAGTGGGTTTTCTTTTGTGGATTCTCCCACTGGGGATACTTGGTCATTTTGGATCTGAGTTTCTTGTGGTCTGCTAGGTGATGGGTTGCTGGTTGAGACTTTTGGTTTTGAGGGGCATTTATGTTATTTTGACTTGGTTCTCAAGTTTGGCTGTCTATTTGAAGAAAAAATAAATGGTGACTTTGGGCATTCAGCCAAACCATTCATAGTCAGTTGTGGAGAGACTCCGTTGAGTTGGTGGTGCTTGTCTTCTCACACAGATAATGTACGGGTGTAAAAGATGGAAGGAACGAAGCAGCCAGTTAAGAAAAGAGAATAAAAAGTGGGGAATAAGACAGATAAAGCATCTGCAGTGTTGAGTTCAGTTCAAGTTTTTGAGAGAAGCTCAGGTTATTTATCACTTTCTGCCCATTATTCCAGCTAATTTGTAGTCTGGAGACCAGCAGTCAAACCTGTTCCTTGACATTACCTGTCCACAGCAGTGTTTGCAACTGAGTAATGTCACACTTGCTCTAGAAGAATATAGTTTCATATTGTGCAAATTAGTGAAACGGCTTTTGCATATTGATCTTAAGAGAATCCTTGTATAGATTCTCTGAGGTCTCGTGGTGTGAGGGCAAGAGAACGGGAGACAGGAGATCTGGGCCCAATCCCAGCCAGCACTGCCACTAACGGGACTGGGTTGCTTGAACAAGTCACTTGCCCTGCACGACTCAGTTTCTTGTTCTGTAGGATGAAGGGAGTGAGACATAACTTCTAAGGCCTCTGGCTGCTTCCACACACTGTGAGTCCCTGAGGTTGGAAGGTTGGTCTCTGCACTGGAGTTCCTGGCTCTCCTGTGTTAGAAAGAGTGTTTTCTCCTGGCTTTCCATTCAGTTGCGGCTTGGCAGAGGCAAAGCTGCAGTCTTTGGGTGTGTTGCAGGAGAGGTCTGTGGTTTTGTGAGCAAAATGAAATATGGGCTTTTGAACTTCTCAAGTTCAGCAACCCTTTTCTGGCCTTTACTGTTTCTCTCTGGGTTTCTTTCTGTCTCTCTGTTTTCATTAAAAAAGTTTTTTTTTTCCTCCATGAGAATAGTCCCATATTTTAAAAAAGAGCAATGTTTCTGTGGGGTGGGAATAGGCTACCTTCTAGTAGGGAACACTCCCTGAGGGAGGCCTGGGAGGTTGTGGCTCAATCTGAAAGGATCTCGACCAGTGCTTCGTAAAATTTGCAGCGCATGAGAATCACTTGAGCATCTTGTTAAATGTGGATTCTGGCTGAGTAGGTTTGGGTGGGACATGAGTTCTGCATTTCCAGCGAGCCCCCACGTGATGCTCGCTCATGGACCACACTTTTATTACCAAGGCTAGATGATCCCAAGTCAGGCCTCCCCTGAGCTCCTGTAGAGTGGAGAACTCACAGGATGGGGACACTGTAACCAGGTTCTTCAGCCTGGGGCTCTTCAGGCCTCTAGGTTCAGCCTCAGCCTAGAATGAACCTGCAGTCAGCTCTTAACATAGGGAATCTTATCCCCTGGAAGGCTGGGCTGTCATAAACTGGCTGGGAATCAGACTCTATGGAGGTTCTTACTTTTGCTGTCTGACCCTCGAATGGTTTTCTTTTTTCTTTTTTTCCTTTCTTTTTCTTCCCCTGGCTTTGGGAGAAGAAAAATTGGACTGTGGGGTAAAGAAGAACAATGCCTCAATTAGCTAGAAAGCTACAGTATTGAATTAAATGAGCCCCATGCTATGGCTCATTAACAACATCCTATTACTTAGCAAGTCTATAACTAGTGTTTCAGCTAAAGAAAGAAATGTAAATCATTTAATACACCTTTCCTAATTGAGCTGTGCACCAGGGGCACCCTCCTAATGGTATTATGGCACCAATTACCTCATCAGAAGAGAAGAGCTGCTTTTATGACAGGTTTTGGAAATTAAAATGGCAGAGAGATGTCTTTTAGGAGGAGTAATTCTGGGCTGGGCTGTGCTGAGCAACGAGCAGGGGCTGAAAGGGCACGTGGGGCCCGGGTGCTAAAGGCGGGACGGTGACCCCTGTCTGGTCTGACCCCCATCTTGGGGATGAGATCTGAACTTAGTCTTTTCATACTGTCTGGTCAAGAATGTGAGCCACAGTGGCTCTTGTACTTCAGTGTGTATAAAATCCACTGGGGAAGCTTGTTAGAAATTTAGATTCCAGGGCCCCACCCTGAGATTCTGACCCAGGAAGTCTGGGCTGGGCTCCAGCCAAACCATACTTGTAATAAGACCTCTGGGAAACTCCCTTGCAGAAAGCTGAAAGACACTGTTTCGAGAAACATAGCAGAGAAGGTCCCAATGATTTCCACCAAAACCCAACTACGTGTCTGCAGGTTCCTCTATTACTAGGGGTTTTACCCGTCCCAAAGACCGGATTGAATGAGACTTATTTTGGTTTGCTTCTTCAGACACAGCACAGCTACCTTCCTCCTTTTCTCTCTGCTTAGCCTGCTTTGGTTGGTACATGGGGTAGAGCAGTGGGGCAAACGGGGATGACTGTTTGCTTGGGTGTTCACTCTCTGTGTGATGTCGGGCAGGGCATTGTACGCTTGGGGCTGCAGTTTCCGCACCTCAAAATGTGCATGGTCAGGTAAAGGGTATGAACACGTTATTGATCAAGACACTTTGTCTTTTTTGCGACTCAGTTTTCCTTATCTATAAGATGAGAATGTTGCGCTTTATGAATTTGGCGAGTGTAAATAGGAACTGAGATTCTCTTTCTGGCAGCTTTTCATGGTTTCCTTTCTGTGGCAAGGAAAGGAAGAACTTCAACCTCCAGATTTTGTGTAAATATTGAATCTATAGCAATGGTTTTGTGGAGTGTTCCAGTTTCCTAGGCTGATGATTAATGTGGTTTTCTCTGTGAGTGTTGAGCCTTCTCAAAAGGCTTTTCCTGCTATTCCTGTGAAATGCACAAAGGCAAAGTGTTAGTCCTGCTTTTTTCTCTATTGCCATGTGGAAGGGGGAGCAGATGCATTCTGCATTCCTCACAGGGCAGAAGACATGTCAGCTGACAGACGTGGGGAGGCAAAACTGGCCTTAATCTGATATGAATTTCCTGACAATTACAATGACCTCCCTGATCCCAGACCTTTGCTGGCTTTATATTGCCTATCACATCACACACAGACTTCCCTGTTTGGCCTGCCGTGTCCCCATCATTTGGCTTGAGCAGGCTTTGTTAATCCTATATCCTCGAAGTAACTTGAATTGTGGGGCTTTAACTCACTTTTATTTATTTATTTATTTATTTATTTATTTATTTATTTATTTATTTTTATTATACTTTAAGTTCTAGGGTACATGTGCACAACGTGCAGGTGTGTTACATATGTATACATGTGCCATGTTGGTGTGCTGCACCCATTAACTCGTCATTTACATTAGGTATATCTCCTAATGCTATCCCTCCCCCCCTCCCCCCTTAACTCACTTTTTTGATGCTCGCTCTCCAATCCACATTTCCAACTAGGTCCTATTCTACATGTTCAACAGCCCGCAGAGCTCCCCCAGTGGACTATGTTGTCATTACTACAAACCTAAAACGTCCTCAGGCACATCCATCAACTCTCCCTTACCCTTGTTGCTCTTCCCATTGATCTCTAGTTCCAGTTGCAGAAGCATGGTCTAGGGTTAGGAAATGAAACATAGCTTGGAAGATCCCAAACCTCCTCATTTTATTAAACACTCTATAGCTAGAATCTATTGCTTTGAAATAGCTCAGAGTTTAATAGTCAGAAGAAATCTTTTCCAGTTCTTACAGCCCATACCGTTTCTTCTTCCAAATCAACAATGAAACGTCTCTAGGTTTTATAGCTTTTGGGTCTGGTTAAATCTCATGTGTAGGAGAGAATGGTCTGTTGGCAGCACACGTGCAAATGGGGTGTGTAGACAGCATAAGCCGAGTGTAAATCCATGGTAGGTGCATGCCAAAGAAGGTCACATATGTCCGTTTTCATTAAGAAAAAGTGCAGCCTCTTGTGTGAGCAAAGGTATTGTCCTGATCAACTTGCACTGATTGAAACATGCCTGGGGTGCTTCTTAACTTATTATTATATTATCGTATGTGTATTACCTTTCCGAGCTGTCAAAGATGGTGACTTTAAAGTCGGCCATTACTAAGTCATTTCTATCCATTTCTTTCTGAATTTCCACGAATTCTTGCTTTATTTGTTTTTATTCTACATTATGTGGCAATTAAAGCATCATGACAGTTATTTACATGCTATTCACTTTTTCAATATTTATCTAAATGTCATGTAAGTTTTCCGTTTTAAATTCTACTTTGATACAAAATATTGTGACCCTGTTTTCTTTACAAATTGAGTCTTTGTGCATGTGATGTATTTGCTAGCTTATCCTTTCTTATTCTAATGCTTTTCTTTATTTGAGGTATATATCTTGGGATGATAGCATATTGATAAGTTTAGTTTTTCAAATATGGGAGCTAAAGCCACTTACATTTGTTATCACAGTTACCATTTTTGTTTTAACTTTAGTCCAGTTGCTTATGCTTTCTGGATTTTAAAAATATTTTCTTGCTCTCTGCTTAAAATTGTTTGTGTTATGTTGTTTGTATTTTCTATTTTTCCACTAGTGATATGGAAGGTATAGGTCCTATTTTAAAATTCTATTGGGATTGCCCTGAAAATTTTAAAAATACACGAATCTATATTTTCCCAATTTTTGATTTTTAAAAATGCTACCTATTGATTGTTTCTTATGCAAGGTGAAGAAATAACCTTTTATTTTCCCCTCCTTCCTAAGTTCACTCAGTTTCTTATTTTATGTATTTAATTTTGGACTTTAGACTCAGGGGTTATCTTTATTTCCAACGTACTGTTTTATAAACATTTTCAAACATACAGAAAAGTTGAAAGAATTCTACAGTAAACACCCACGTGTCTACCATCGCCATTTTCCTATACTTGCTGTATCATGTTCTGTCCATCTATCAACCCGTGTTTAAAACAAATGCATTTCAAAGTAAATTGAAAATATCAATTGCTGTAGTTTGATGTTTGATTCTTCCAAATCGCATGTTGAAATTTGATCCTCAATATTGGAGGTAGGGCCTAGTGGGAGGTGAGGTGGGGCCTAGTGGGAGGTGAGGTGGGCCTAGTGGGAGGCCTTCAGGTTGTTGGGGTGGATCCCTAAGGAATAGATGAATGCTGTCCCTGGTATGGGAAGGAATGAGTGAGTTCCTGCTCTATTAGTTCCTTAGAGAGCTGGTTGTTAAATAGAGCCTGGCAGCTCCCCTCCTCCTCTCTCTTGCTCCATCCTTCACCATGTGGTCTCTGAACACGCTGGCTTCCCTTTGCTTTCACTATGAATGGAAGCAGCCTGAGGCTTTCACCAGATGCCCAGTCCCTCATCCAGCTGAACTCTGAGCTAAATAAACCTTTTTTCTTTATAAACTACTCAGTCTCAGCTATTCATTTATAGCAATGTAAAACAGACAAAGACATCAATATACTTCTTGAATACTTCTGCATAAATATCATTAACTAGAGTTTAATAATTGCTTGCAGTATTTTTCTTTGAGGCAAAATTTACAAACAATGAAATACACAAATTTTAAGTGTGCATTCATTGAATTTTGACAAAGGTGTGCCAGTTATTATTTTAAAAATTATTTTCTCTTTCAAGAATTACTGTTTTGTATTTAAAATGTCTTTTACAACCATACTTTAGAGGATGTTTAATTGATTTTTAGCAACCACTATGACAGCTGGGCATGCTAGCTCATGCCTGTAATCTCAGCACTTTGGGAGGCCAAGGCAAGAGAATCACTTGAACCCAGGAGTTCAAGACCAGCATGGGCAATGTAGTGAGACCCCCATCTCTACATTTTTTTTTTTTAACTGAGCATGGTGGCATGTGCCTGTGGTCCCAGGTACTCAGGAGGCTGAGGTGGGAGGATCCCTTGAGCCCAGGACACAGAGGCTGCAGTGAGCCAAGATTGCACCACTGCACTCCAGCCTGAGCAACAGAGTGAGACCCTGTCTCCAAAAAAATAAATAAATAAAATAAAATAAAAATAAAGTAACAACCATGAGTTCCATTTCATTAGAACTTCTCCATTTTTCGTTTTGAATAATTTCTAGTTGGCTGGAGTATGATTTAAGTAGTTTTTTCAAAAGTAATGTCAGTGATATGGCTTAGGAATCTGAATAATTGAAAATTTTTGTAAGAAAATGTAAAGAAATATAAGAAATTTTTTTCAGACATGAATGACAACTTAAATGAGTTTAGAATTCTTGACTAGCAGGCAATTTTTTGCACTCAAAACTATAAACATTTCTCCATTTTCATCTGATGTTTAATGTTATAGAGCTATCTGATGCTAGTCTATATTTCTATCTTTGTAGGTAAGCTAACTTGTTTCCTGTCTAGGTAATTGTAAAATGCTCTTATTGTTCTTGAACTTGAGTTCATCTGCTAGTTGAAGTCTTTAAGGTAATTTTGCCAGGTACTTCGTGAGATCTTTTGATGTGTAAATGTACATTTTTATTCAATTATGGCAGACGTTGGTAGTGGTTCCTCCAAATCCATAGTTTTCTTCTTAGAAACATAATTCCTGATATGCCTATGGACACATAGCTGCATGGAATAAAAAATATTTCGCCTTCCTTATGGTTTAGTTTCACAGCTGTCACGGATAGCTGACCCTGGTCTTAATGAAAACATCAGCTCAGGAAAGTTTTCTTCTTTTATATTTTATTTTGTTTGTTTTATTTATTCTGCTCTTCCCCGCGCCCCAGGAACATCTCTTCTTTGTGATTTCTATATTATCTCTTCTTCAAACGCAACAACTTTTCTCTCATTTTTTATATCACTTTGCCTTTTTCCTCCTTATTCCATGGCAGTTTTTCAGGTTTCTCTCCTGCATTGACAATTTTGTCTTGTCTCAGTGCCTGTTCTACTCTTTCTCGCTTTGAGTGAAAATTGTAATTTACTATTTCTGTTTTAGTTTCCTTAACTTTTGTGATTTTGTGATTTTTCGCCTCTGCTGAGCCAGTGCCCTGCTCATTGCTGCTTTTATCTCTCATTTTTCATCATTTGATTTATCTTTTATTGGAATTTTTATGGAACCTAAATCTGAGTTTCCTAAATTTTGTAATTCATGTTTGCTTTTTAGAAAGATACTTTCTTTTTCTTTTTCTTTTTTTTTCCTTTTCTTTCTTTTTTTTTTTAGATGGAGTCTCACTCTGCTCCCCAGGCTGGAGTGCAGTGGTGCCATCTTGGCTTGCTGCAACCTCCGCCTCCTGGGTTCAAGCGATTCTCCTGTCTCAGCCTTCCAAGTAGCTGGGATTATAGGTGTGTGCCACCATGGCTGGCTAATATTTGTACTTTTGGTAGAGATGGTATTTCACCATGTTGGCCAGGCTGGTCTCAAACTTCTGACCTCAACTGATCCTCCCACCTCAGCCTCCCAAAGTGCTGAGATTACAGGCATAAGCCACCGCGCCCAGCCAGATACTGTGTTTTTCTGTATTTTGAGCCTAGTTTTTCTGTCTTATATAATCCCCATGTTGGTTCTCTTTTACTTATAAGAAACGAGAAAAAAGTATGTCTAGTTCTGCTGTTTGTTCATAAACAATGCGAGTACATTTTTTTTGATGGAAGTAAATTTATGTGACTGCTTAAGACGTGCAACAGATGGAGGGGAGTAGAGAAGAAGCTGGGATCAAGGGCAGACAATAGGGGACAGAGGCAGAAGGAGGGAGCTGGAATTACCACAGGCTTAGGGAGAGGACTGGGGCTCCTTGTCTGCACCCTTCTCTACCAGTGATGCAGCTGCTGGGTCCTGTGCTGACTTTCTGCATTTCATTTTCTTTCTGCCTGACTTAACACTAGGATGAAGCTGTGTTTTCTTCTATCTCCTTCCTTGAGTTGTTGTCCACAAGGTGAAGTTGGCTCCCTTGTATAATATCCGTGTAATGGAGCCATTGTGCTTATGCCGGGGTCTCCTACTGCTACTGCTTTCAAATGCTCCTCATCTACAGCTGAAGCAAGTCCTGGTCTTCTTACCTAACCTGCACACGACACTCCCTCAGCCCTCCAAAACTGAAGTGGGGCAGTCATGTTTGGTGGGGATCTCAAGGTCCTTCTGCCCTTTACTTCCTATAACCACTGCTGTTTTTGAGGAAGAAGAGCTGCAAGACTGTCCACAGTGTCTCCCGTCCTCTGGTCCCATCTAAGCCATATTGAAAAGGATGGTGCCAATTTCTACCATGTGGAAGGTGCACTTGCCTTGTTCCCAACATTGCTGTAGTACTTTTTCTCCCCTTTCACCAAAGCTTTTCCTTTTTTATGCTTCTCTGGGTTGTTTCAGAGGGGCTGTTGGTGTAGAGGAAGTTAAACACTTAAATGCAATGCCTTGTTACCCAGAGGTCTATAAAACACATCCTTTAAGGCTTTTTATATTGTGAGAGCATATATTTTATGCTATAAATTTATTAAAAACCATCTGAGTCTTTGCAGCAGCACAGGACTTGGAGTCAGAAGACATGAGCTTCAGCCCTCACTCAGCCTCCCATTTACTCATCTTTAAAATGAGAATAGTACCTTGCATGGAATGAGATCAAGAATATGAAAGCATATCTACATCCTTAAAAGGTAAAAACACATAAGACATGGCAGCCATCCTTTCTTTCTCTTTTTGCCTCTCAGGCTGAGCCCTGTGGTATGGAAAGTAATTGATAAATCCTTACTGTTAGTTATTGAAAATGAAAGTCCAGGAAATACTGAAGAATAACTAAGGAGAGAAAAGGAGTGAAAGAGTAATTGAACACATTATTACTATCTTCTTTGATATTTATGTTTATAAGCTTTCTTTGAACCTGTGGTGTTGTCTGCCTAGAAAGTCCCAGATTTTATTAACCATTTTCATATTTTCTCTCCAATCCTTCCTTCTAACCCTGTCATTCCCCTAACACTCAAAATTTATTGTAGAAAGGTGTTCTTTTAAAGACCTTTATAAAGAAATATCATTATCTATGGTTCAATGTCACTTTTAAAGTTGTCCCTTGATACTTTTTGGAGGCTACTGGATATATTTAATTTCCAAACACTCTTGAAAGTCATCCAACAAGTTCAAGCAGGGAGAGAATGGTCAGGGTACAGGGTGTGTGAGGAGATTATGCTGTGAGTTGGCCGGTATCATTTATTATGGGTAATTCAACAGGTGCCTCAATAATTCCTACTGGGAGGTTTTCCGTTCAGCTTCCCCAAATGGCTCCATTTCAACATCCAACAGTGACACTGTATTCTCAGAATTAGATTAGCTAAGCACAGGGCAATGCAAAATCCACTGGAATGATCCAAAAGAAAGGCTTGCTCCTTCATCAACAGTGTTAGCATGAAATATGCTTCTGTTTATTTAAAATGGTAGAATTCATCAGCTACTTGAAAACTCCTGTTCTTTGAAGTGGAGGTGTACATTTCATGTTATATAGTTCAGTCCTGTCTATGTAATTACATACGTAATTTTGAGCACTTACTCAATGTGAAACCCTATGCTGGCTGCTGTGGAGGTTAGAGAGATGAGTAAGACCTAGCCTTGGCTTTGCGAATTTACACATTTGTTGGGAGATGGCAGCCTATGTATCATCCCATCATAGGACAGATGTAGAAATTAGAAATGCAAGCAAAATGCCATTGGGTTAGAAAGGAAAACTTGAAGGTGCTTCTTGGTAGAGGAAGACTTCAAGCTAAGCAATCTTGCCTTTATTTATTACATAGACAATTGTTGAGTGGCAAATTGGTTCACGCGCTATACTATAAATAGTCAGGGAGAGCCAATTTTAGTTGTGTAATTATTTATAGAAGAATAAAGTTCAACAGGCAGAATAGACCAAGGAGGGCATTCCAGGGAGGAGGGACTGAGTGCAGACCTTCTGGTGACACGACGTGTGTGTGGGAGTGAGTGTGGGCTATGGGCTACGGTGAAGGTAATGATGGGATATAGATCTGAGCAAAACTGCAAAGGGCTCTAATGCTCAGTAAAAAAAAAAATACATTTTATTCTAAATTGCATTTTTATAAATTGAGCAAATCTAAGTTTACTGGGATTGTTCCCTATTAGGTATAACAGTTGGAGTTGCACTGGCTTGGAATCAGACCAAACTTAGAATTTGAGCTGTGTCATTTACCAGACCCAGTCACTTAACTTCTGATTCTCAGCTTTCTCGTCTGGGAAAATGTGGTTTATGAGGATTAGTTT
The DNA here is from genome assembly GCF_000001405.40 of Homo sapiens. Classification (NCBI taxonomy): domain Eukaryota; kingdom Metazoa; phylum Chordata; class Mammalia; order Primates; family Hominidae; genus Homo; species Homo sapiens. The sequence continues at coordinate 193,963,640 of NC_000003.12, read as the reverse complement.
CAAGGAGATAGGGGAAGGCACCAAGGACATTGCCCACCCTTTGGTAGGCATTCAACAAAGGTCAATTTCTCTTTTTCTCTCCCTTCCGCATCCTCCCCTCTCTTTCTCGTAAGAGGGCTTTGATGAAGCATATGCTCCGTAATGTCACTGAGTCATCTGGCATGATTGCTAAGCATTTTCTTAGACTTTTCTTAGACTTGCTCAGGTTCTGAAACCTGAGCAAGTATCAGAAGCACCTGGATGCTTATCAAAACACAGTTTGTGTGCCCCCAACCCTAGAGTTTCTGATTCAGTGGGTCTGGGTGTTGGGGGGCGGGGCAGGGGGCAAGAATTTGCATTTTTAAGAAGTTCCCAGATGCTGCTCGTATGGGAACCACATTTTGAGAGCGTCTAGTTTTTCTTATTTTGCCCTGGGGCAGACCCTGTCGGATGCTTCCCTAACAACCATCCCCTTTTCCCTGCTAACAGAGTCCTGAGTTGTTTTGGCAGTACAGAGAGATGCTTTGATTTCAGGGCTAGGCTTTTTTTTCTATCTCAGTGCCAGAAGATGAATGATAATGGGTCTAAATTGTCGTAGTCATCTCAGTTCTCTTGGCCATTGATTGATCTCAGGGTGGGCAGTCAAGTTAGTTCAGTGTCCTAACTTAGAGACATGAGCTTCAGCTACACTCCTTAATTTATGAAGAACTTCACATTCCAATTAAACAGAAATTATAGAGCAACACTAGAAATCTTCCAGAAAATGCAATTCATCCCAGGCTCCTTTATAAAAGCAATCCTAGCCTCTGACTTTGATCATCTTTTTTCACCTACCCTTTCATCATACTTGGACCCTCCCAGCTCTGCTACCTTCCACTGTCCAGATCAGTGCAAATTTGTTGGAAAGACCAGTTTTCAATCACACAAACATGTATGTCCATTGCCCTGTTGACTGTGACATTTGGCCACCGTCTTCTGAACCCCTAAGGAAGACTGAAATCCTATCATTAACTAACTTTTGGATCAGAGCTGGGTATTTATGATGGAACTTAAATTAGTTACCATCACTAACAATATTTTCTTTAGCATTTGAAGAAGTATTATTTCAGTTAAATGACCATAGTAGTTCACCCATTTGTTCATTCATTCATTAGGCAAATTTTTATTGGATATTCTATGTGCTACAGTGCTACAACATCATCCCTCTCTATGTATGCAGTTACTTATTCATAGTTTATAAAGCACTTTCAAAGCATGAGGGGCTAGGGACTAAGTTATAATGGAGAGGAAAATCAGTGCATGCAATAAAATATGCTTCTCTCATTGTACCTGTAGGTATTTGCTAATAGAGTTGTGTGTAGAGGTACACACATGTTTTTATTTGCTTTTTATAACTGTTATGTTACCGTAGTTATGAGCATATGAACATACATGTTATTGCTTGCATCGTGTTTCTGTACTCTGGTTGTGGATCTTGATTCCCTCCCCCCATTTTATCATTTTTTAATGTTACTATCAGTAGCAAGGTAAGAAATTAATTCGATATGCTGTTTTCTATTAAGAAAGAAGGAATTGATAAGTCCCTGTCTGCTCAACATTTACTTTTATTTCTGCTGTCTGCCACCTGGCTTCTGATTGTCATTCATTAATTACTTCGTAATTAATTCCACCTACATTTCCTGAGCAGAGTCCACCTAAATTTGGCACATTGGAGAAAGTAGAGACTAATAAGCTCAGGACTCTGTCATAAGGGGCTCACCATACAGTAAAATACATAAGACATGCAAAAATCACTGAAATGTAACACAGCAGTCAAAGGATACGTGTAATAGGAAGAGAGTAGGTAGGAGAGCAGAGGAGAGAGAGAGGACTTCTGACAGGAAAATCAAAGAGGCCTCCATGCTCTATGTGGAAGGACCTGTGCACTGGACTGTCAGAGATCCTGCAGGATTTGGGAACTTTGACTGAATTGGAGATTCTGGGCTAAATTATAGAGAAAGAGCTGTCTTCACTCTGTGCCTGAGAGGCCAACAAACCCCATCCGATGAGATTTGGATAACACTGATCAACCAGGCCAAATCCTGTTACACGAATGCAAAAGGACTGTCCCAAATACTGGGATCTGTCTGGAATAGCTCTTACTATGTATCATCTCATCATAGGACAGATTGAGCACCAAACAGCTCATCTGCAGAAGCTTGTTAATTTTTTGTGTAGAGGTTTGGGTGAGATGGTTTGCACATTTGCTGGAAGGAGGCTGACCTGTATACTTTCTTAGGAATGGGGAAAAGCTGAGTTGGCTGGCGCTTGGAAAGTGTCTGTACATTCTTGGCTTGGGAAGTGTTTGGGATGCATTTATATAATGCGGTTCCTTTTCCTGTAGCACAAAGAAATGACAGTAGGAGGAGGAGGGCTGATCACACAGCAAAATAGTGCCCCATACTTCAAACCAGCCCCTTTGAGTTATCCAAGTGTACCACGTCCTCCCCTACCCCAAGTTACAAGCAGCTGAATTGAATTAAAAAAACAGTCCCTCCGTTGCTGCTGTGACCTGGCCTGCCAAATTCTCAGCTGGCGTGAGTTTTTATAGCTCCGTTATAAACCCCTGAAAAGTGAGGCATATAATGGAAACATTGACATAACCTGAACGCCTAGGAGCGGCTTGTGCCACTCTAATTATCCTTATGTCTTACTGGCCCGTTTCTCTCCTTCCCCTGGCAGGACCTGCTGCCGCGGTTAGGCCTGACTGTCCCAGGGGCTGGGGGTTCGAAGCTGGCGTTTGCTGGGGAATAATGAGATAGTGTCTGCTGGTGGGAAGCCCCCTGCTCCATACATACTAGCTCCTCCCCTTTGCCTTTCTTCCCTTGTTCTCCTCCTGCACCACCTCCCCCTACCGCCTCCCCCGCAAAAAAAGGCAGAACAGTTCAGTTGGTTGTAAAAATTAATGAGTTCAGATACAGACTTGCCTTATTCCGGTCCAGCTGCGTAACCAGGGTGATTCCAACCAGCATTCTAGACGCTGACATCAGCTCCACACCCCGGCACAATGCTGCTCTGTTTGATCTCAGAAACAGATCGGGCTCCTGGGCTTTATACATCCTGCTTCCTCCCTACGTAAACTCATTTTATTACCCACCGGGAGAATGCATCTCAACTGCGCTCTCCCTGGGCAGCCAATGCCAGAGGATCAGGCCCTACAGCTGACTCTTCTTCTACCAGCTGGACACTTTGATCCAGTTTTCCTGGTCCTCTTTGAGGTTTCTCCCCAACCAGGCGTTGACAACTGGTGGAAGACGATGGTGATAATGATTTCACCACTTTTCATTTTCAGTGCTCTTCTACGTTCCTGTCTGACCTGTGGTCCACAACCTCCCTGCCAGGTGGAGGTGATAGACCCATTTTATAGATGAAGAAAATCTGGTAGAGCTGGTGAGTGGCAGAATTAGGAATGGATCACAGGGTTCTAGACTCATAATCCAGTGCTCATTCCAGGGACTCAGGGGGTTGACCTCTTGGTGCAGGCACCAAGCAAGGTAGATTTAGTTTGTGTTGTGACCTGAGCAAGAAGAAGGCTCTATGGACCCACTTTCTGGGAGGCAAAAGGAGAGAGGAAGTGGCAAGTCTATGTCAGGCCCTTCAAAGTACATCATGGTGTCCTTCATCTGTCACAGTTCCTGCCCCTTCTACACCCTTTCTACAGAGTGCTGCTTGCTCTGCAGCTGGTCCAAGAAGCTTCACCTCCCAGGAGCACCAGACAGATGATCTCCTGTTTACAGTGGTTCCAGGAGCACCAACCCCAAGGATGAGTTATAAGCAGGTCTCTAAAGAGATTTTAGGAGAAGCTGCTAAAATGGTGGCAAAGCTCTTTAGAAACATAGAAGTATGAACCTTTTTATGGGGAGAACTTATAAGAGTTTGGAGAGGTCTTCCAGGGTAAGTGTTATAGCATGTATCTACTGAACAGGGAAGAGGAGATTAGGGGGTCTGTGTTAGTTTCCTGGGGCTGCCATAACAAAATACCACAGACTGGCTTCAACAGCAGACATTTATTCTGTCTCGGTTCTGAAGGCTGGAAGTCTGAAATCAAGGTGTCAGCAGGACCGCGCTTCCTCTGAGGTTGAGCAGAATCCTTCCTTGCCTCTTCCTAGCTTCTGGAGGTGGCCGTCAGTCCCTGGCCTTCCTTGGTTTGCAGCCGCATCACTCCGATCTCTGTCTCTGTCCTTACCTGGCATTCTCCCTGTGTGTCTGTGTCTTCTTATGCCCTTTTTCTTTTTTCTTTTCTTTTCTTTTTGTTTTGTTTTGACAGAGTCTCGCTTTGTCGCCCAGGCTGGAGCGCAGTGGCATGATCTTTGCTCACTGCAACCTCTGCCTCCCCGGTTCAAGCAATTCTCATGCCTCAGCCTCCTGAGTAGCTGGGATTACAGGCACCCGCCACCACCCCTGGCTAATTTTTGTATTTTTAGTAGAGATGGGGTTTCACCACATTGGCCAGGCTGGTCTTGAACTCCTGACATCAGCTGATCCACCCGCCTTGGCCTCCCCCAAAGTGCTGGGATTACAGGCATGAGCCACTGTGCTCGGCCCACCTTCCTCTTTTTATAAGAACATCACTCAGTGGATTAGGGTCCATCCTAAATTGAAATGAAGCTGTCCAAGATTGGTGGGGGCGAGGCAGATGTTATTCAATGACTGATGTCCTTATAAGAAGGGATCCTTAACTTGATTAAGTTAACTTGATTATATTACCAGGATTCTATTTCCAAGTAAGGTCACATTCATAGGTACTGGGGATGTCTTTTTGGAGGACACAATTCAGTCAGTAACAGGGTCTTGTGTTTCTTTCATAGTTGTCTAACTGCTTGTCTCTATTCAGAAAAGTAGAGAGTTGAATTGGTTCCCAAATAGCCATTGACAATGGTGTTAAGAATCCCTTATACTTGTTCAGAGTTTTACTGACGTGTTTTCACACATGTCTTTATTCAGTCCACACAACCTCCCTGGAAATGGCAAGGAGTTATAATTTCCATTTTACAGATGAAAAATGAAAAAGAGGAGAAGGGGATGCCATTTGCTCAAGGCTGCTGGAACGCTAGGCTGGCTCTGGGACTATCACGAAAAGTTTCTAACCCCCCGCCACGGCTCTTCTCACAACACAAGAATGAGCTCAGAGAGGTTAATGAACCTGCCAAAGACCCCAGCTGAGAGACTGAGTTGGTTTGCAGATTCCAAAGCCCACATTCATTCCATTTTATCTCATCTTTAGTGGACTTTGAACATGCCTCAGCCTTCACCTTGACCCTTGGTGAAGGTGCTGAGAACCAAGACCCAGTGCAGCGGTGTCTCTGGAACCTCCTGGAGCTCAGCAGCCGACTCCCAAACCTGGAGGTCCTCACTCTGCACCCTGTGCTCTGCCCTCTGGCTGATCCTCAGCATTCCCAGGCAGCCTGGCTCCCTGTAAAGTTGTTTAAACTTCTGTTTATCATCATCTTCCATCATTTCTAATTGTTTTCCTGTGTCCCTTTCTTTTGTAGAGGATATAAACTCAGCATTTTAGCTTTTGAAATAGATTTGCTGTGCAGTTTCATGGCTCTTTAGTGGCTTAAAATGTATTGTTCTGTGAGTCTTTCTGTGCCCGTCACAGCATTCACTGTGGGAAGCAGCAGGACGCCAGCGATGCTGATGTTTATTTGATTTTAGGGGACTTTAAGGCATTCCTGGGACCATACGGATTCTAAATATTCTGCCTCATTGTCTTCAGAAGCTACTAAAATATCCTAGAAATGATCATGTTTCAGCATGTAAGCTACATATTTCACGTTACCTCTTGTATCCATCCATACATAGCCTCTATCAAGAGCCTGGCATAAGCCAATGTAATGGTTCTGAAATGGTAACCACATGGTTCTTCAATCACTAAAACCCTTTCCACTCTGAGATTGGACATTCATTGCTATTTTCTGCCAGGGCTTTGATTTACAAGACTGTCTATGAGTTCTGTGTTTAATATACAGAACTGGCTGCCCTCAATGCATGAGACTTCCTGGTATTTTTTTCATGTGATTAGATGGATTACATTTGTTTCATATTTATTGTTTAGATATACAAGTAATCCTCACTTTGCACAGTGTCATGTCTGCATATTGAAACCCTATACTCACTTTGTGCAATCCTTTGGTAAGTGCAAAGTGAGAACACAGGTCTGATATGTACAAGTTTCAGTGAACATGGTACTATGCATCATGAAGACTATCTGAAGTTGCTTTCAAATAAAATTTGGATAAGGACTGTAACTACAGTAGTTCTCATTCTTAAGGAAATGGTAATTGCCAGCCGGGTGTGGTGGCTCACACCTGTAATCCCAGCACTTTGGGAGGCCGAGGCAGGTGGATCACCTGAGGTCAGGAGTTTGAGACCAGCCTGGCTCACATGGTGAAACCCCGTCTCTACTAAAAATACAAAAATTAGCTGGGCGTGGTGGTGGGCACCTGTAATCTCAGCTACTTGGGAGGCTGAGGCAAGAGAATCACTTGAACCCAGGAGGCGGAGGTTGCAGTGAGCTGAAATCATGCCATTGCACTCCAGCCTGGGTAACAAGAGCAGGACTCCGTCAAAATAATAATAATGATAATAATAATAATAATAATAATAATAATAATAATAATTGCCCACTGGGTGCTCTTCTCATCTGTGTACTGAAATACTGCTCACACAGCCCCCAGCCTCAAGCCATATAGTAGGAGAGGCCACATGAAGCAAGAAAATGACCGAAGACAAAGACTGCTGAAAGTTATAAGAGGTGAAGTGCTGCCAGGGCTCAGAGGCAACGTGGTCATTTTTTATTGGGAGAAAAAGAATCAGAGAAGGCTTATGGAGAAGTTAGCATTTGCACTGAGCTTTAAGAGAAGAGTGGATTTTAGAAATATAGAAGAGGGAAATGGGAGGTGGGCATTCCAGGCTGAGCCAACAACATGAACAAAAGCCCAGGAGCGAGTGACAGTACCACATGGTGGAGGAGCAGCAACTCACAAGGAGCACTGGGTGACTCTGGCTGCAGAGACCTGGTAACAGTGTGAAAATTCATTTGATGACATAACTAAACCTATGAAACCTTAAAACTAAGTTGAAACCAGCTCCCAATTTGAGCATCCTCAAGATGGTGGACTAGAGGTGCTCAGCACTTGTTTCCTTCACAAAGAAGGACCAAACCAACAAATAGAGAAGTACCCTCGAATAGAGTGTCTAAGGGAGAGCATTGAAATTTAACAAGGTAGTGACAATGACCCTCTAAGGCATGGAAACTCAGGATGGCAACATAGAGAGGGAAGTGAAGCAGCCAGTCAGGATTAGCTCAGAGCCAGGAAGAACTGCCCATTGCAGGGAAAAGGTAAGTGGGAGACCCCCAGAAGTCCACATTCCCACCACAGATACCTGCAATCCTGGCTACAAGAGAGCCCCTCAGCCCTCACAGGCCCTGAGCCCAGTATAGGCAGCTACCTGGAGTCCACATGACTGCATTATTCTGGAAAGGAAATTCACACCAGGGCCCCACTGACATCCCACCACATCCACCCAGAGGACTGCAGTGTCACAAAGACAGCTGGATTCAGCAATGCAGCTGCGACCCTGAACCCGAGCCCGTACAATGTCCTACATCCTGGGAAACAGGTAGTTCAGCACAGCAAGGAGGCTGCCCCCAGGATAGAGGGAGCCAGTGGGCACACTCTCCAGAGCCTGAGAGCCAACCGCCGCGGCGCCTGCCATTGCCAGCTGCCAGTGACCCTGCCCCCTCCAGCAGTAGAACCACCACAAACCTGTGCAAGCTTCCCAGGGGTTGGCCCACCTGGGGCTTGCAAATGCCATGGCCAGCAACCTCAACCACTTCAGTAGCAGAGCCATTGTGCACCCACAGGCACTCCCCAGGGGCCCAGGAACTGGGCTGCCCAGTGTTCTTATCCTTGTCAAAGCCATGCCACAGCCTCTACAAACAACTGTAGCGTAGGCCACTGAGGCACTCAAAGTCACCACTGATGTTGATTACAGCCAAAAAAATACAAAGGCTACATTACTGCACCCACTCAGAACCAAAGCCAAAGCATCCTATTCAACTGACACTATAGAAACATCTACAAGAAAAGACAATTCATGATCTGAATGAGAAACTCAACAAAGAGATTGATAGTATAAAAAATAACCAAATAGAAACCTTGGAAATGAAAAATTCAATGAATTAAATAAAACATACAATTAAGAGCTTCAACAATAGACTAGACCAAGCAGGAGAAAAAAATTTTGAACTTAAATACAAGTCTTTTGAAATAACCCAGACAAAATAAATAAATAAATAAATAAATAAATAAGAAAGAATGAAGAAAGTTTACATGACATATGGGACACTATTAGGCAAATTTGCATTTTGAGAGTTTAAGAATGAGAAGACATGGGAAAAGGCATAGAAAATACATTTAATGAAAGAATAGATGAAAATTTCTCAAGACTTGGGAGAGATACAGACATCTAGATACAGGAAGCTCAAAGATCCCCAAATAGATTCAACCCAAAATGTCTTTGAGGCACATTATAGTCAAACTAACAAAAATCAAAGACAGAGAATTCTAAAAACAACAAAACTGTCAAGTAACATAGAAGGGAATCTCCATCAGACTAACTTCAGATTTCTCAGCAGAAACTTGAGAGGCCAGGAGAGAATAAAATGATATATTCAAAGTGCTAGAAGAAAAAGTTTGCTATCTAAGAGTACTATATCCAGCAAAACTATCCTTCAGGAATGAAGGAGAAGTAAAGTCTTTCCCAGACAAACAAAGACTGAGGAAATTTATCATCACTTGACTGGTCCTACAAGAAATGCTTAAGGGGACCCTATTACACCTGGAGCCAAAAGAATGACATCTTCCTTCATGAAAATATAAAACTTCCTGTGGAGCAGATACACAAGTGAGAAAGAGAAAGGAATCAAATGTTATCACTACAGAAAACCACCAAAACACAAAGATAAACAATAAAAGAGTAATAAAGGAACAGAAGACATCCAAAACAACCAGAAAATAATCAACAAAATGACAGGAGTATGTCTTCACTTTTCAATAACAACTTTGAATGTAAATGGTTTAAACCTGAATTAAAAGATGTAGACTGGCTGAATCAATTTAAAAAATAATAATAAGATCCAACTACATTTTGCCTATAGCAAACTCATTCACCTGTAAAGACATACAGAGACTGAAAGTGAAGGCATGGGAAAAAATATTCCATACCTATAGAAACCAAAAGTGTGTAGAAGTAGCCATACTTACATCAGACAAAATAGACTTTAGTCAAAAAACATCAAAAGAGACAAAGAAGATAATTACATAATTAAAAAGGGATCAATTCATCAAGAAGTTATAACAACTGTACACCTATATGCACCCAACATTGGGGCACCCTCAAATATAAAGCAAATATTATTAGAGCTAAAGAGACTCTAGACTCCAATTCAATAATACCTGGGGTCTTCAATATCCCACTTTCAGCATCAGACAGATCATTTAGACAAGAAATCTTTGTTTCAACAAAGAAACATTGAACTTGGTCCACAAAATAAGTCTCAAGGTTTTTTAAAATAAAAATCACATCAAGCATCTTTTCAGGCCACAATGGAATAAACCAGAAATCAATAACAAAAGGAACATTAGAAACCATAAAAACACATGGAAATTAAACAACATGCTCCTGAATGGCCAATAGGTCAATAAAGAAATAAAGAAGGAAATTTAAAATTTGTTGATACAAATGAAAATAGAAACACAACTTACCAAAACCTATAGGATAAAGCAAAAGCAATACTAAGAAGGAAATTAATAGCAATAAATGCCTACGTTAAAAAAGTAGAAAGATTTCAAATAAACAACCTAGTGATTGATGTGTCTCAAGAAACTAGAAAAGCAAGAAAAAACAAAACCCAAAACTAGTAGAAGGAAAAATACAAAAAAGATCAGAGAAGAAGAAAATAAAATAGAGACCAAAAAAAAAAAAAAATCAACGCAATGAAAAGTTGGTTTTTTTGGTCAATAAAATCGACCAACTATTAGCAAGACAAACTAAGAAAATGAGAGAACGGACACAATTAAATAAAATGAGAAATAAAAAAGGAGACATTACAATTGACAAAGGGCCATTAGAGACTATTATGAAAACTATGGACCAACATATTGGAAAACTTACAGGAAATTGATCAAATCCTGGACACATCTAACCTATAAAGATTGAACCAGGAAGAAACAGAAAACCTGAACAGACCAATAACAAGTAATGAGATTGAATCAGTAATAAAAAGTCTCCCAACAAAGAAAAGCCCAGGACCAGATGGCTTCACTGCTGAATTCTACCAAGCTTTTGAAGAACTAACACTAATTCTTCTCAAGCTATTTCAAGAAAAATGAAGAAGAGGGAATTCTTTCTAACTCATTCTGTGAAGCCAGAATTACCCTGATACCAAACTCAGACAAGGACACAACAGAAAAAGCCACAGGCCAACATCTCTGATGAACACAGGTGCAAAAATCCTTAACAAAATGCTAGCAAACTGAATCCAACAATGCATCAAAAAGATAATATACCATGATTAAGTGGGGTTTACTCTAGGGATGCAAGGACGGTGCAACATATGCAAATCAGTCAATGTGATACATCACATCAACAGAATGAAGGACAAAAAAAGTATGATCATCTCAATAGATATTGGAATATATATTGGTATAAATACACAAAGTAATATTATTCTGACATAATAAAGAATAAAATCCTGTAATTCATGGCAACATGGATGAGCCTGGAGGTTATGATGTTAAGTGAAATGAGTCAGGCACAGAAATACTGAAGGTACTAACTCATGTGTAGGAGCTAAAAAACTTGAGCTCATAAAAGTAGAGAGTAGAATTGTGGTTATTAGAGGCTAGGAAGGGTGGCAGGGAAGGGAAGACAGGAAAGGTTGATTAACAGATACAAAATTACAGCTAGATAGGAGGAATAAGTCATAGTGTTCTATAGCATTGTAGCGTGACTATAGTTAACAATAATTTATTATACATTTTCAGATAGCTAGAAGAGAGGATTTTGAATATTCCCAACACAAAGAAATGATAAATGTTTGAGGTAATGCATATGCTAATTACCCTGATTTGATAATTACACATTGTATACATATATCAAAATATCACGCTACACTCTATAAATGTGTCAACCATTATGTGATTACTCTATAATCATGATATGTCAACTAAAAACAAAAGGAAAAAAAAGATGAACAACTAACAAAAAAGCATAGCAGTGAGAAATTCTGAACCCCTGAGCTGGGAAGTTCTGAATAATGACCTGTGGGTGATACTGACCAAAGGGGGAACCTCAGCTTCTAAAGCCCATACTCCAAAGGCAGTTGATAATAATCAGTCAAGTATTAGGGATCCCAGGTGCTGTCACCCTCAGGCCTTGTTTGATTCCCAGAACAAACCTGTGAAGAACAGAACCTGGAAGCATGTCACCATTTTATAGATGAAGAAGCAGAAGCTCAAAAGACAGGGACTTGTCCAAGCCTGTACAACCAGCAAGTGACTCAGCAACGGAAAGAATGCAGGTTTCCTAGTTGGCCACACTGAGAATTTGGTGCTTTGACAACTATACTTCATCTATTGTAAATTTTCCAGCTTCACACAATTTCTTTTATTTACAAAAGTACTAATTATTATAGCTAATCTCTCCCTAAGGAATCACCCACTGAGGGAAAAACAAGAACACCAATGTAGGCACATCTAATGGCCTTATATTTTGTTGCTCACTTATTTCCTGTATACTTAGTTTTATTTGAAACTTAATGTTGATTGGATTTGAGAAGACTGTTCCCCACAGGATATTTTCAATTGTTAGAAAAAAATAAAATAAAGAACACCACCACTGAACAGTTTCTCCCATGGTGCCAAGCTGTCTTCCATTTTGGATTTGCTTTCCGTGTAGCCAGTAATCACCCCAGGACTGCCGACCTGGGCTCCTCCAGGCACAAGAGCTGAAGGGTGCCCTAAAGAATATTGCCTCCACATCTGTACTCTTCCATCCTCTCATCTTACCACGAGCATCACAAAGAAGCCTCTCAATCACCCACTTTCTGACAGATCAGCATGGGTTTAATCCCAATCAGAGTATCCCAGGGCCAGCAAGATGGGGCTGTCAGGAGGCCCACCCTGGCTAGTCTGAAGCCTTTGACTGAGTAAACACAGTCTGAAAGGGAACTGGGGAGCTTGAAAGTAAAGCTGTAAATGATCCCTTCTGTGATTCTTGGCCAATTATTCCTCTGGGGTGGACCAAAGTGGGGGAAACCAGAAGAGAAGGTCCCTCTTTGCTTTAAACAAAATATCATTACACTTCTAGCATCTTCCTTGTTTGGGGCATTTTCCAAGTGAAAGTTCATTAGGGAGACACGAAAGCACGTTCCACTAATATCCATCAAAGAGGGGTTCAGTTTCAAAGCGCAGAAGAAATACAATAGCGTTGAAGCAAACTACATGAAAAAGATCTTATGCGCCTGAGAAGCGAAAGAGAAGCAGGGACTGGTGACTTGGATTTTCTTTTTTAAGCTAATCTTTATTTGGGACAAAATATGTAAGTCCAAGGAAAACGAGTGTCTCCTGGGCACTCTCTTATTTACATGGGGCGTCTTGAACTAAACATTTTGAAATGTTTATAAATGTTTGGGTTTCCTCTTCCATATTTTCTCTGGTTGGCACCAAAGCTGCAGGGCTTGGCATGTCCTCACGCTCGGGTCTTCCCCTCTGTGGCGACAGTTACTGATGAGCATTAATCTGGAGGACACACAGAGACAAGATGAAGTGCAGACTGGAGCCCGGGGATTAGGTCCTTTGGCGAATAAAATGTAAACAGGGGATGTCTGAGAGGTGAGGAGTGGAGGGGCTCATTAAAGGCCTGGACTTGGGATCAGGGTGGCTCTTTGTGTCCGTCCTCAAGCCAGCGAATGGGCTCAGATGCTGGTGAGCACTAGTCAGGCCCCTGGCTCAGCTGTTGGTCTGAACAGTGCCAGAAGGTCCTTTCCTTAGGCTGTCCAAGGGTGTTGGGTAGGTCCCGGGATGACACGCTGCTCGTTCAGGCCAGGGAAGGGGATGCTTGCCCTCACATCGAGCTTTTTGCTGAGGAAACCCTTGCTAATCTCTCATTCAGAAATGCTCCTTTGGGGAGTGGTTCCCTTCCATTTCAGAAGGACCTATCTCCCTTGACTGCCCCTGGGAAAGAGTAGATGTTTTCAATGCTTCCATCGTGTGCACTGTGAACTTCTCCAAAATAGTTCTTTCAAAGTAAGGTTTTGGGTGAACATAAATGAGAAACTCTAACTCCCCAGGGGAAAATTTACCATAAGAACTCAGGCTTCGGCCTCAGGTAATATTGAATCTGGGTTTCCAGCAGTGAGATTGAGAATGTGAGGCATGCCAGCAAGACAGACCCGTCCTGATTCTGCTGCGAGGCCCGGCTGGAGGCCCACCCAGTCTGTCTGAAGTTCCCAGGTTCGTTCTGGGGAGTCCTCTGAGAAGGGTTTCTCAACCTCGACACTACTGGTCTTCTCATCAGTTGCAGGGACACGAGGAAGCAAGTTATATAGTTTGTTTATAATAGAGTAGTTACTATAGGTTTGGAATCAAAGATATGAGGTCACACCCCAGCTTCCATTGCTCAATTTTCTCACCTGTTAAATGCGGATAATATCACTCACCTGAGAGAGTAGTTATGAAGAATAAATGTGGTAATGTGTGCAAGTGGCTATTTATCAAATGCCTGGCACATAGTACATGCTAACTAAATGGTACGTTTACTACTTCCTAATGTGGACTTTTCAGAGAAGCGTGTGGATGGGGGCATTAATATTTAGGGAGCACTCTCTTTATAGTACACCTCCTATGATTGCTTACATGGAAAGCAGGGAGAATAGACCCTTTGCTCCTCAGGTGTGGGCCAGCTGTCAACTTAAGGCGATGCTGGTACCTGGCACCAGAGGCTGAGTGTGGAAAAAATGAATGCTACCTGTTCCCTTTTCTTAGCTGTAATGCAAAAAGGCTAAAATGTTCTATTCTTTAGTGATCTCTTCATTGATTCTTAATTGAGGTAGTTACTGTGACATGCTTTGGCAGCTGAGATTATAGCTTGAAGTTTATGAAGAGAAAAGACTTTTATCTTCACTTATGGCTGAGTCTTGGATCTTACCAAGTTGCCTATCCAGGTTTGGTGGTCAGCAGCCAAGCTGCTCCCCATGCTTCTTCCCCTAACTACCAACATTCCTTCACAACCCTCAGCATTCAGAACTCAAGCTCTCAAAGCCTGGGCGAGAAATCCTGAATTATCCTGTTGGTCAACTTAGGTAAAGTGAGAATAGTTAGAAAACGTAAATGAGTGAAACAGAAGGAAAAGACAGTGAAATAACCATTCATTGATTAATTCCACAACCATTTGGTACCATACATACTGCATGCCAGCTACTGGTCATGGTGCTAAAGTTACAAAGATGAACAAAACTCAGCCTCTGACCTCAAAAATATAGTGGCTGCTTTTTGTTCTGGGTGCTGGTTGAAATTTGAAAACATTTGGCTGGTTGTATACTTAAGATTTGGGTGGTTTTTGATGTATGATATTCTTCATACATTGTGTGTTTAGTGGCAGACACAGACACCAGAACAGGTGATTCTAAGTGCTAGTTACAGATACACCCAGGGCATTGTAGGAGAATAGGGGTCCAGGTGGGAGAAGCATGTTGGGTCCTGGAAGAGATGCTAGCATAAGCAAGGTTATGGAGGAGAAAAGACACCAGGGCAGGAAACTAGGAAGAGCCCCGTGTTGCTTGGCACATAAACTGTGAGGCAGGAAATGATGAGCATGGAGGGTTGAAGAAGGACTGGGGGTTTTATGTCTATGGAGGGTAGACTCTATCAGGTGGACAATGGGGAGCTCTGGGCAGGTGTCAGCCAAAGGGAGGAAGTGGTGAGATGTGCATCTTAGACACAGTTGGCAGAGGTTGGCTCAAGGCCAGGGGCACTTTTAATCCCATTGCCATTTTCCAGATGAGAGATGGGTGACAGCTTGAACGAAGATACAAAATTTCATGCATAATATGCATGTACACACACACATACTCACACACATCTCCAACGGCTGCAATAAAAGAAGATTTTCATATACCATACGATTCTACAGAAAATCCCATTTGAGTCTGGCAGACATAAAGGTATAATTGTCTAAGAGGAACTCATTTATCTCTTAAAACTTTTAATATCTCAAGATTCGGAGTGTGAGTTCAATGTCTCCTATGTCAGATATAAGCAGCACACATGAGGGCTGGGTGCGGTGGCTCATGCCTGTAATCTCGGCACTTTGGAAGGCCGAGGCAGGTAGATCACAAGGTCAGGAGATGGAGACCATCCTGGCCAACATGGTACAAAAGTACAAAGGTACTAAAAGTACAAAAAAATTAGCTGGGTGTGGTGGCATATGCCTGTAGTCCCAGCTACTTAGGACGCTGAGGCAGGAGAATCGCTTGAACCTGGGAGGCGGAGGCTTCAGTGAGCCGAGATCGCGCCACTGCCCTCCAGCCTGGCAACAGAGCCAGACTCCGTCTCAAAAAAAAAAAAAAAAAAAAAAACCACATATCTTGTATCTTTTGTATTTTTAGGGGGGAAGAAATTTGGGAGGAAGTCATTTTTTATTCTCTCAGTGGTTTATTTGCTGCTTGTCTCATCTTTGAAATATTTTCTGTTATCTACTTTACTGGCGAGACTCTAGTCCAGGGAGTGAACACTCTGGCTTAGCTCATCTTTTCCACCTTTAGCTATTCACTTCTTTTCTCATATGTTCCAGAAGAAACTCCCAAGTAGCAAAATTGATGAAGAGACTTTATCGCCTCTGCATAACCCCAGATTGCCTGACGTGTTTTCTCATGTCTTGTTCTTTTTTTCCTCGCTCTTGTCCTCCAGGTTTGAGTGCAATGGCTTGATCTCGGCTCACTGCAACCTCCGCCTCCCAGGTTCAAATGATTCTCCTGCCTCTGCCTCCCAAGTAGCTGGGGTTAAGGTGCCTGCCACCACACCCGGCTAATTTTTGTATTTTTTAGTAGAGATGGGGTTTCACCATGTTGGCCAGGCTGGTCTCGAATTCCTGACCTCAGGTGATCCGCCCGCCTCAGCCTCCCAAAGTGCTGGGATTACAGGCATGAGCCACTGCGCCTGGCCACATCCTGTTTCTTTAAAACAGAAGGCTGAAAGGTCTAGCCATCTATCCAAGAACAATGGCCAGCCCCTCTGTAGGCAGGCTCTGAGAGAGACGTCGATGATGCCAGACTCTCAATGGGGAGGGTAAGTTTGTGAGTGTGGACAGCGGTCTCATCGGCTGCAGGGAATTTTGAAAGAGGGATGGGGGACTGCAATGACTCACTATATTCTTCAAAGCCTTGCCTGTACACCAGGTGTAGGAGAGAAGAGGAGGTGGTGACAAGTACATGTGGTCATCTATCCAAACTCTCATGTTTCAAAGGAACATTAATTTCATTGTCCCCAGAGAGGAGAAGTAAATAATGAGGTATTGTCTAAGTCAGGTTGTTTCCTGCTGGAAGCTAGAATTCTGCAAAGTGTTGGACTTCGATCTAGACTTGGCTTTAGGTCTGTATGAGCCACTTGTGGGGAGCGTGGCTTTTGGCAAGTTACTTTACCTCTTGAAAACCCATTTCCTCTTTGTAAAAATGGGATAATAGAGCATGTCTTTTTGCCTTTAAAGGTTATGCAACATGCACTCATATGTTAATTGCTGCACTGTTCACATAGCAAAGACAGGGAATCAACCTAGGTGCCCACCACTGGTAGATTGGATCAAGAAAATGTGGTACATATACACCATAGAATACTACACATCCATAAAAAGAGTGAAACCATGTCCTTGCAGCAACATGGATGCAGCTGGAGGCTGTTATCCTAAGTAAATTAATGCAGGAACAGATAATCAAATATTGCATATTGTTTCTTAGGCGTAGGAGCTAAACACTGGGTACTCGTGGACATCAAGACGGTAATAGAAACTGAGGACTACTGGAGGGGGAGAGGGGGACAAGGGTTGGAAAACGAACTATTGGGTACTATGCTCAGTACCTGGGTAACAGGGTTAATTGTGTCCCCAAACCTCACCATCTTGCAATATACCCAGGTAATAAACCTGCACACGTACCCTCTGAATATAAAATAAAAGTTGAAATTATAGAAAAAATAAAAAAATAAAAAAGACTGTGAGATATTGGGAATGGAAATATTTTGGACATTGAAGAGTGCATTTTGAAAATAATGCTCTAATGTGAGAATTTTCTCCCGAGCGTTAACGAACTCACCACAGAGGCAACCTTGGTTATAGTGAAGGGGTCTGAGGAACAAGGAGAAAGTACACAAGATGCTCCCTCAAGGAGGCAAGAGTATACAACAACGTCTTGATTGATTATCCATTTTAGAGAGATCTATGGTAAATGCTCACGGGCTTTGTCTGGCCCCTCCGCATACCTCTCTCTTTGCAGAGTTTTGGAAACTCATTTCCACCCTCGCCAAGGCAAAAACACACTGGAAAGTGAAGCTGAGATTCAGTCATATTAGAAGGGGGCACTGGCCTCAGTACCCCCACCTGGGTTTGGGTCTCAGCTCTGCCCTTCTCTCCCTGCAGGCACCCGGGTAGGAATCTTCCCTCTCCGGGCCTCCGTTTCCCATCCGTATGTTGGTTAGAATATTATTAAGGTCCTTTTCAGCACTTGAAATGGATTCTGTGCTGTCCCAAGGCATCCAGTCAATCCCAGCTTCTAGTTGCTGCAGTGACTGGGTCACTGGTGCAGCATCTCCGGTCCACTCACAGCAGCAGTCAGGAACTTATGTTGCTGTGCTGATTTTCTGGTCCTCGTCCTGTTTCCTCACAGTGGCATGACGGATCGGACATGCCATGCGACTGCATGGTGGCTCAGCTTTCCTGGCATGCAAGAACGTGCAGGGTGCATACAGATGCCATGTTTTCTAACCATCGCAACTTTGAGGAGGCAGCAGGAGATGAGGCTTAGGAGGGAAGTGATTGCTCTACACAGCAACCCACGGTGGTGGGAAGAGGGGTCAATTGTAAAGTTGTAGGCCACCGGCTGAGACCTGCTGAGTGATGAGCATTACTCAGAGAGTGGGTCCAGTTCCCATTTTAGACCCAAAGTAAACTCTCCAGGCTCTGTTGTAGTTGGCTAATGGCAATCCCCAAACCACAGGCTCCAGAGATATGAGCCAGTGTTCCAGGAGAAGCCACCCGCAGGAGAGGGGAGGATGAAGGGAGAGAGCCTGGCTCAGAGTCCTGTGCTTTGGGGACTGATTGCTTCAGATGGAGGCATAGTGCCTCCTTTAGTTCAGGGTTCAGTGCTAAGATCTCAAGCAAAATCCAATCCACGTTCACAGATGCGCATATGGGAAGGGTGTTGAACTCGTTCTCCCCAAAGTCAACATCAAGAGAACCGAGGGACTGGTGGAGTCACTTGGAAGTTCTTCATTCTTTTTTTCTCAAGCTCAGAAAGACCAGCATACCACTTAGAGGCTTGGTTTGGACAGCTCTCCAAACCCCTGGTCAGATTGCTCTCTTGCAGCTAAAACACAGGGTTAGCTGAATTTTCTTCCAGACTTCATTGCAAACGATTATCTTGGCATATTATCTGTAACATTTCCTTTGGAGAGTTCCTCCATGTTAGAAAACAAAAAGTTTGCCATACCCTGTGAATGACTGAATTAAGAAGTAAAACCTCAAATCAGTCAAGATGCATGAAGATTTGAGTGACTTGTGAGCATGAATTACATGACAAAGACCTCATGAGGATGCCACGGCTAGGAAAGACGAGACCGTAGGATAATGTCGATCTGGATGCCTTTGCGACTTGTGAAATCTGAGAGCCCCACCTTGACGAGTCACCTGTGCAATCCCTTGCCCTAAGGTACGATCATACTTGAATCCTCAGTCTTCAGACTTTGTAGTCCTTGAACACACATGCACAGAAAATACACATTTGTATGCAATATTGCACCCTCCCCCATAACTCACTGCAATTAGGAGTTGAATTCCCCAGTTTGCTGGACTAAACTTCGAGACCCAGCAACAGGGGCTCTTGAGAAGGAAAAAAGGAATTCCACACTGGTGAGGTTAGGGCTGCAGCCTTTGAAGCGAGATGGCTTCGTGGAGGCTGCCTGCTTTAGAAACGGCTGGGTCCTGACGCTCTCAGGGGGGAGCTGGGAGAAGCGGCGTGGAGAAAACCACTCAGAAGCCCGGAAGACTGGAGCGGGCGCTCGCGCGGGGCTGGGATTTGTGTAGTGCTGTGGGTTTTACCTTCTGAGCACCCCATCTGCCCTCTCACAGGCACAGCAAGGGCCCTATAGTTGCTCTATTCTCCACCCATCTCTGAAAACTTTCCTTCTCTGATGCTACTTCAAAGCCCCCTGGGAAAGCCAAGTTGCCAATTAAGCCTCTTTGAGGCAGGTTCTCATTCCTTCCCCACTAATTGAAATGTTACTCCTTTTACTAAACCCATAAACCACCCAAACACAACGGTCTTCCTCATTTGCATTGTAACAATGTCCCTAATGTGCTTCCAAGAGCTTTACGTAAAGGCGAACCTTTTCTCCTCTCCCTGTATGAACGGTCAAAAGCAATTCCGAGGCAAAGGCCTTCATTTCCATCCCCATACAGCTGCTCATTAGCTCAGGTGGAATAAATTCCTTTTATTCTGGATTCATTTCCCAGGATGATAATGTCTTTTTTGTCTCAGACCAGTGTTCCCAAACTAGGCCTTAATTGCTGATAGTAATTGAGTTAATACATATTTACAGCAGGGTAAGGTTAAAGCAGTTCTCCTGTAGTTTTACTGGAGACATTTGATTTAACCTGCAATAAAATCATTAACAAGTTGTTCAGTGTTCATTCCGTCTGTCCTTTATCTTGTCTGCTCCTTGGGAAAGCTGGGTGAAGGCAGATGGCTTTGGCGCAGGCTCAGCTCTCAGGCTGCAGAGACGAGAGTGCCCAAGTCTCACCTCCTCACCTCCGGGTCCTCCTGTATTCAGAGAGAAGGACCTCTCCCACTGAAAGCAGATAGCCCGGGGCAAGGCTATGCAGCTCCCCAGGCGTCCAGCCAAGGAGCGCAGGCGGGAGGATGAAAGCCCATCAAAGCCACAGGGCTGGGCCAGGCTCTTGAATCAGCTCCCATCAGTAGCTCCGGCCCAAAGTGGCCCACAGGCGAGGCACCGAGCCGAGGTGTCAGGCAACGTGGTAGTCCTGGCCACTGGTGCATGCCTAGAGAAATGGGCTGAAAACAGGGTAGGAGGAGGGACCAAGGGCCGAGGGCAAAGCCAGGGAAAGCCAGGGAAAGCCAGGGGGTTTCCAAATTACACCCTGGGGGGCCTGATGGTTTGCTTGTGAAAAAGCCTTCTTGAACCTTCTCTCTCACCTTCTCATAGACAGGGAGAAATGTGGAGGCCTCCTTATCCAGGGGTTCCAGGCCTCTGTATCTACTGGAGTGAAATTGGCTTTACCCAAAAAGTGAGGCTGGCTTGAGTGCACTGCAGGCTGACGGCTGCTCCCTTCCTCCCTCACTTGCCTCGCCTGGGCCTCCGGCTGCTTTTCTATTCAGAAGGAGCCCAGCCTGAAATAAATGGTCCTGACTGGCAGAGATAGCTGGCAGTTCCCTAGAATCCCCACTGTCACGGGCTTCCTGGGTCCACAACTAGATTATACTTTCTAGTCCCCTTTCCAGTTAGATGTGGCTGCGTGACAGACTTCCAGCTAATGGTGTTTGGGCCAAGGGAACAGTGACACAGGCCATCTCCATGCTCTGCTCTCACTGGTGGCCTGGGGAGAGCAAAGATGACCCTGGGGCAAACGTTGAAAGCAGCAGAGCTGCGGTCAGCTCAAAAATGTCAATCATGAAAGAACTGCTGTCTCACCCTTCCCTGTGAGTGAGCATGCCATAAATGTCACTGTACACTTAGGGGACTTTTTTTTTTTTTTTTTTTTTAGATGGAGTCTCCCTCTGTGGCCCAGGCTGAAGTGCAGTGGCACGATCTCGGCTCACTGCAACCTCCGTCTCCCAGGTTCAAGCGATTATCCTGCCTCAGCCTCCTGAGTAGCTGGGATTACAGGCTCGCGTCACCATGCCTGGCTAATTTTTGTATTTTCAGTAGAGACGGGATTTCTCCATGTTGGCCAGGCTAATCTCGAACTCCTGACCTCAGGCTCTCCGCCCGCCTCATCCTCCCAAAGTGCTGGGATTACAGGCGTGAGCCACCGCACCCGGCCGAGGACTATTTTTTGTAGCGGGGAATCTACTAAACAGTCTGAAGTACACAGCACCATGAACCGGCATGGCTTTTGCCTAGAATGCTCGTCCACCAAGACTTTACCTGTGCACCCCTGAAGACCCGCTGAAATTCCAGCCCAGCTCTGAAGGCTTCCCATGACCAGAGGACACACCAATCCAGCCTTACACTGTGATTATTCCTGGTCTCCTACCACAGCCGCCTTTGCCTACCTCTAGGCAGATTGAGCCAAGCAGGAATCAGGCCTGACCACCTGAGTAAGATTTAGAAACTGAGCTTTAAGCTAAAAGCCTCAAAACCAAAGGTGGTTCCTCAGAGACTATGATTTTCTAATTCGTCGTTTTTGAAATCAGGCTCAAGAACCCGGGATGAGGAGGAAAAACACGAAGCTGATTTCTGGAGCAATTTGGCATGTTGGAGAGAGATGGCCCGTTCTTCTTACAGACGAAGAGACTGAGGCCCAAAAGCAGGGAGAGGCGAAATCAGCGCCCAGGCCTCCTGCCTCTCAGCCTGGGGCCCCTTCACTGCCTTCTTTAAACCTGACGACAAAAGCAAGGCAGGTGGAATGCGCTGGTATCAAGGCTCCCTTCACATCTCCTGGTACATCCTTTTCCTTTCACCACAACGTGCTTGTCTTCAGTGCACCCTGCTTCAGTGTTCTCAAATGGTATTCCCAATCGCCTTCCATCTCTATGTGCATTTCATGGCAAAGTTCCTGGTGCTGACACTTCCCACGTGAGCCTACTGGGAAGTGCCAACATTGTTCAAGGAACATGAACACGCGATAGAGAGGATCAGGACAGGCAGGAAACATAGCAACAGCGAACCTCTATTTCTTTGTAGCACCCTTCTCTTCGTGGGAAGAGAAGAGCTTGGGGAGGGATTCCATCTCCTATTACGGAGAAATAAACTGAGGCTCAGAGAGGTTGGGTGATTTGCACAAGTCTGGCGTGTGCATTTCTTCTTTTTGTTTTTTTAGATGGAGTCTCACTCTGTCGCCCAGGCTGGAGTGCTGTGGCTCAATCTCGGCTCACTGCAACCTCTGCCTTCCGGGTTCGAGCAATTCTCCTGCCTCAGGCTCCTGAGTAGCTGGGATTACAGGCATGCGCCACTAGGCCCAGCTAATTTTTGTATTTTTAGTAGAGAGGGGGTTTCACCATGTTGGTCAGGCTGGTCTCGAACTTGTGACCTCAGGTGATCCTCCTGCCTCGACCTCCTACAGTGTTGGGATTACAGGTGTGAGCCACCGCGCCTGGCCCATTTCTTCTGATTCCCATTCCAGTGTTCTTCCCATGGAGGAGTCTGCTATCAGAAGGAGAAGTTTCTCTTTTCTATGTCATAAAAGAAAGCGACACCAGGCTACAGTTTGAAGCTATATTTTATCCTTTAAAATTCAATCAACCATATTTTCACTAATTATCTCCCAAAGCAGAGGCCTATTTTCCAGTGTTAATTTCTTAGAGTCTAGAGGCGTGCTGATCAGAACTTGAAATCTGACCTAACCTGTGGGTTGACCTAGCTTTCCACAATGCAGCGCCTCCGTCAGCGTTTTTCCTCATAGTTGGAGCTGGTTCAAAACCCACGTTTTCTGCTTTCACATCCTTCCTTGCAGCAAGCTGCAGGGGAATCAGGAGCCTGGATGCTTGGCTCAGGAGGGGTCCGTAAGGCCATATAGTCCAATTCTTATTTTACTACTGGGGGGCCATAAGCCCACAGCAAGCCTGTGGCAGGGCATGGGGGTCCCAACTCTCCAGCAGAAAGTGCTTTATGGGAGAATGTGGGAGATGGAATCCCAGATTGGTTAATTTTCCATAAAGGAAAAGAGGAATAAACATTTTCTTTAAATCCCATAACCTAGAACAAGGAGGAGGAAGCTACCCACATCCACCATTTTCCTTTGGGAAATATGTTGCATGCCACCCTGTCTACACATTTAGAAAATTGTCACTTTTTCAGATGTCGATGCCTGTTTTCCCCTCGCATGGCTGCCTGCATCCTTCGGACTCACCTCTTCTGTTTTGTCAGCAGTTCTTTTTCTGTTAGTGAGTGTGTATTTGGGGGAGCGGTGGGAAGGGTGTGCATGGGTCGTGGGTGGGGTGACAGTCACTCAGACACTGGAGAGAGAGGAGAGAAAGGAGAGGTTGACAGGGTTGGCACTGGAAGTGCCTACCAACAGCTGTTCTTCAGCATTTATTGCATGCTTTGTGTCATGAAGGAATCTTGCTTCATATATACATACTGTATAATTCACTAGGTTCTTTTTCCATCTTTTTTATTCTTAAAAAAAATCTTTGGAAAGCAGAGACCTGGAGAGCAAGAGCTAACATATTGGGAATACTACAATATTCTACATGATATGCTTCTCATTTTCACATAGAAATGAGAAAACTCTTTCAATCCCTGACAATGGCACGGGACAATCATATCTTGATTGTCATGGTGAGGAGGTCTACGCTCAGAGGAGGACCTTGTCTAAGATCACACAGCTAGTAAGTGGCAGAGGCAGGATTCGAACTCAGATCTGTCTGAGTCAAAGTCAAATTTCTTTCCACAACATTAAACTGCCTCCTAAGTACATAGAACTGTTAGCAAAGAAGAGCAATTGTCCCCAGTTTATAGCTTGAGAAAATGGAGTCTGCAAGTCTCAGAGAAGAATAAAGTCCTATAGTTTCTAATCAACAAAACTGTGACTAAAATTCCAACCTGTGTTAAGTGAAATGGTAGGTACGGGAGAACTCCAAGGTATGGCCCCACCCTCAAGAGACCAGCCATCCATTGAGACCTGTGACTGCTACTGGTGTCTCAACAGGGAATGGTTCCGAATGAGTGCGTTGGTGAGGCACAGGTTGGGTGGTATAAATAATGAAGGCTGAAGAGTCTGAGGTGGTGATCAGTGCTGAGTCCAGACTGCTGCCCTGTCTGCATATCTGCTAAAATGGTCTTTGCTGGAGGCCATGGATCCTCTTACATTATTTATCA
Source organism: Homo sapiens (assembly GCF_000001405.40). Taxonomy (NCBI): domain Eukaryota; kingdom Metazoa; phylum Chordata; class Mammalia; order Primates; family Hominidae; genus Homo; species Homo sapiens. Next base: position 193,939,287 of record NC_000003.12, on the reverse strand, counting down.
GAATCTCTTATCATCTGGAAATAAGAAAACCCAAATCAATTGTTGACAAACATTTTGCAGTAATTGCATCTCCTTACTAAGGGCTGGACTATCTCTCTTTGAAGAATGAAGCTGGAGAGTGTAATTGCTGGTCAGTTCTTCTCCTCACAATGACCTGAGTAAAGACTCTGAGGCCAGGGAGAGTGGGAGCCTCTCCCCTCAATGTTACCTCCAAAAGGAACAGGGGATAAATACCCTTGTAAGACAGTTGGCCTCATTTTGTGGATGTGAATTCAATGGCTCACAGCTCCATTCTACTCATCCTGGCTCCGGCTTAAGTTTTAAAAACTAATTCTCTCTGCATTAATCTGAAAAGATCCTTCAAACAAAAGCTCAACATCTGAGTCTATTTACCGAGTGTGCAGCTGTGTCAATTGGCCAAGACAAAGCGAAGGCTTCCTGGTCAGCCCACAATGGGCGGCAGGTAGTCTTGCAAACAGAGAAACACAAGGCAGGGGCCTTTCACGAGTCAGCAAACCTCCTTCCAACAAGGAAGAGCTGGAGCAGAGGGGTCAGGAGGATGGAGTGCCGCCCCACCCCCACTCTCACCAGCACACAAGTGGGACTGAAAGGTAGGATCTGTAAGCCCATCAATTAGGGCTATTAAAAAGGTAATTAGCCCTCTTCTATGGAAACCAAGGACAGAGATGTGAAAAGGGGGACATTCATTTCCATGTGGTTACATTTTAATGTGACCAGTGCACTTTAGTCATGAAACGAGGTGCTATTGTTGAGAATATCACTTGGTTGGTCTTAATGGGAAGGTGCTACTAAGTCAGTTAAGGAGCTATCTTACATTTAGAATAGTAGCTATTTTTAATTCTTGAAAAAAATATTTTTCTGCTATCAAACTCTAGATTCAAATCAAATGGCCAGGTTTGGGAAGCAAGGGAGGAGTTGAGAGTCATTTCTTTTCTAGTTTCCTTACCCAAAAGAATTGTGGCAGGAAATGAAATTTTAAAATGTCAACAAGGAATAATTTGTCTTGGATTCTGAGAAGTGTGAAATTTAAAATTAATGTTTCTGTTTCCTCTCTTTTTAGACGTGTGTGGGTATTTCGGTAATAAAGCCCAAGAAAGACAGAAAATGAATAGAGGAAAGATCTTTGTTATAATGAGATTTGAAGACAGTTATTCAAACGGACCTAAAGCATATGATGCTCTGTGCAACACTGGCCCCGTTCACAATGAATGCACTTACACGTATTTACATTGCCTCTTTCTGTGTGTGTGTGTGTGCGTGCATGCACGGTGGTAGCAGTGGTGGTTGTGTATGCACACCTGCAAGTAAAGGATAATTTAATTTTATTTCTCTACCATCTCATGCTCTCCTTCCCCATCACTACTCCCGCTACTTTTTTGAGGTAAAATTGTGCATACAATGAGATGCAAAGATCTTAAGAGTACAGTTGGGTGTATCACATCCCATTAATCCACATAGTAATGAAGAGATACAATATTCCCATCACATCAGAAGTCTGCTGCCTCCATCCAGTCAATACTACCCTCCCCAGGCAATCACTGTTTTGATTTTTATTACTATGGATTCGTTTTGTCTGTTCTTTAATTTCATATACATGGTATCAAACGGTATGAATAGTTTTGTATCTGGCACTTTTCACTCAAAATATTACTTTTTGAGATTCATCCATGATGTTGATTGAGTGTATTAGTAGTTCATTCTCTTTTATTTGTAAGTAACATTTCATTGTATGACTATACCACAGGGTATCCATTCTTGTGTTGATGGACATCTGGGTTGTTTCCAGTTTCGGACTATTATGAATAGAGCTGCTATAAACATTCTTGGATAAGACTTTTTGTGGGCATATGTTTTTATTTCTCTTCGGTCATTATCTAGGAGTGAAAATGCTGGCTCATAGATTAGATGTATCTTTAACTTTGTAAGAAACTAAGAAACTGCTAAACAGTTTTTTAAAGCGGTTCTACCACCTTACACTTCTAACAGCAATGTAATGAGTTTCAGTTGTTCTGCCTCCTTACAGACTTGATGTTGTGAGTCTTTTTAAATGTAGCTGTTCTGATGCGTATTTAGTAGTCATCTCATTGTGGTTTTAACTTGCATTTCTCTGATGACTATTGATGTTGAACTCTTTTCTTGTATGCTTTTACCATTCCCATATCTTCTTTCATGAAACTTCATTGAAGTCTTTTGTCCATTTTTATTAGTTTATATTATTATTAATTTGCAAATATTCTTTACCTTTTCTGGATAAACTATCTTCTAATACACAGGTATTGCAAATATTTTCTCTTGGCCTATGGCTTTCATTTTCATTTTCCTAAGGGGTCTTTCTGATGAGCAAAAGTTTATTATTTTGATGAAGTCTAAGTTTTCACATTTTTATTTTATAGTTAGTGTTTTCTGTGTCTCATCTTTGGGATACAGAAAAAATCTGTAATCTTTGCTCTACTCCAAGGTTGTAAAGACATTCTTCTGTGTTTTCTTTTAGCAGCTCTTTAATTTTAAATTTTGTGATTGAACTGATAATTCATCTCAATTAATTTTATATGTATGGTATGAGGCAAAGATTGAGGCTTATGTTTCTCCCAACATTTATCCAGTACTTCTAGAACCATTTGATAGACTTTCCTTTTCCCCGTTAACTGCTCTGATGCCTGCATCATAGATCAGCTGATTGTATCTGTGTGGTTCTATTTCTGAGCTTTCTATTCTATTTTTTTTCTTTTTGGTCTGTCTTCATGCCAATATCACATTGCTATGATTTTTGTATATTTTTTAATGTCTTGAAATCAGATATTGGGGCCCCTTGAATCTTGCTCTTTTTTTGAAGATTCTTTTGGCCATGTTAGATATCCTTTGCATTGTTATATAAATTTTAGAATCAACTTCTCAATTTCTACAAAAAGCTTGTTAAGATTTTGATTGGTTGTGTTGAGTCTGTGAATTAGTTTAGTAAGAGGGAAATTTAATGCCTTAACAATATTGAACCTTTCAATGAATGAATATGCTATTTCTTTCTATTTATTTGTTTTCCCTTATTTTTCTCAGCAAGATTGTATAATTTTTACTGGCGAGGTCTTGCACATCTTTTGTCTAACTTACTTCTGAATATTTTATGTATTTTGATGCCATTGCAAATGACATTTTGAAATTTTACTTTCTAATTGTTTGTGGTTAGTATGTCATAATAGAATTGACATGTGTGTATTTAACCTTGTAGCTTGTTCTGTTGCTAAATTCCCTACCTAGTTCTAACAGTGGCTTTATGTATCTCTTAGTATTTAATGTATGTATATATATTCACATGATCTGCAGATAAAGAAACTTTTACTTCTTTCTGTCCAATCTTTACCCTTTTTATTCCACCTTATTGAACTAGCAAGGGGTGCCAGTACAGTTGCTAAACAGGCAGTTAAATTACTGATGATTTACCTCAGCATTGTGGAAGGTGTGTTAAGGTTTCTTTTAGCATGGGTCTATTTCTTATCCTATGGCACAGTCCTTTTTCCTAAGGCATGGAATTTGCGGTGTGAGGTGCTCACCTAAGTGTCTCCCCTCTGCTTGGCTGGCATTCCAAAGTCTCCCAACCCTCAGGACCTCTGGTGTTTCTATTCAGGTTTCATCCCCATTATATCTGTTCTCTAATAGGCCTAGTGGAGTTTTACCCTGTGCATGTAGAGTCCTGTTCTCAGCCAAGAACCCTGGAGGACTGCCTGATACAAACTTCCGGCAACCTTCTTGCACAGATACTTCTCCTCGGGTACCTTGCCCTGCAGATTCCACCACTCCCGCACTCCCAAGCTCCAATCTCTGCCTCCTCCACTAAACATGCTCACCGTCCTCTGCTTGTGCGCCCCCTCCTTGCACGGTGACCTGGTAACTGTCCACGGATGGAAAGCCAGATGGCATGCAGGGCTCACTTCATGGGCTTCCCTTCTTTCGAGGATCACACCTCTGCTGTCCATTATTCTATGCCTGAAAATAATTGCTTCAGATATTTTGTCCTGTTTAATCATTGCTTGTGGTGGAAGGCACATCCAATACCAGTTTACTCCATCATGGCCAAAAGTAGATTTTTACCCATAGGTACTTTTGTTAAACCGGCCATCCATACCAAGAACACATCTGTGCCATCTCTTTCATTTCTCATGTGCTTACAGAGGGCAGGAATCATATCTTGAATTTAGAAAAATCACTGGGCAATTCTTATAACACTTGTCTTCCAACTTCCTCAACAAACAAACAAAAACAAATGAACAAACAAACAAACAAACAAACAACAAACCGTATTTTCTAAAAACTCAAGCCAGTCCACTAGTTGTCCTTACTAGACCAGCATTTCCTATCTGTGTTCTGAGGAATGCTAGCTCCACAAGAGGATAAATGGCAGTCTGGGTCTACAGAGTTTCCTGATCAGATATTTTGGAAAATGTTATGTCTGATTTTTTCCTGCAGGAAAATCACACGCACATTAACATATGAAAAAGGCTGATATGTTCTGTTGAAAAATTTCATCCACTTAACGTTGCCCAAACTTAATCAGTGCAACTAAGTCTTGAGAGAATATTCTCTAATATTGGAAAGGTGTGCTCTTTCACATCATAAATTATCTGACTTATTTATTTTCCCCAAAGTTTTGAAAAAATACTATTCAGAGGGCAAAAAGAGAGTTTTGATGTTTGGCAAGTCAGTCAAAATTACAGATGCTGATATGATATTTAAGCTGATCATTTCTGATTGGTAGGGCCAACAATTGAACAGATGAGTTAAATACCTCAGAATCTATGTGTCTAGTTTCCACATCCCAATTGTGCAAACAAAATGTGATGGGAAAATGGACTTTTTCTTTTAAAGCTCTGATCAGCATATTTATGTTTTAAAGGCCTAGAAATCTGGAAATATAATGCTAGCCCATAAAATCTTACCTTCAAAAGTATTTCATATATACTCTATTTTTAAGATAATAACCCACCTCTATAAATTTTATTAATCATTTATGAACCCCCTAAAATACTTTTGGAAACATTTTCCAGCTCAAACACCTTTTTAAAACACCTTTTTAAATGACATCATGTCTCTTGGTGTATATTGTTCTATAATGGAGATCAGGAAAGCTTCCCCACCCCTCCAGAAAGTGACTGCTGAGAAGTTTGTCATCATCCTCCCTAAATGTAAGCACCTGGAAAATCTGAGTGCTATGAAACCCCAAAACATAGCTCTGAGGCAGACAGCTAGATTTAAAAACCTCTCCCTTGGAGAATCGCCTCAGGAATAGCAGAAGCATAGTCCACAATCCTGGGGAACTTCAGGGATCCCTGAAGGCTGAGCCACAGTGAGAGGCTTTGAGCTGTACTCTAGAACGTCTCCCAGGAGGAAAGACTCTCCATGAGTTTCTCTACTGAGCACGCTGTCTGCTTCCCTTCACCTCCCTGCTGCTGTCGGCTAGCTCCACATTCTGACCTACAGGCAGAGGCAAAGTGGATGCACACTTATTCATTCATCCAATCCATTCAGCTATTCATTAGTTAATTCAAAACTGAATTATTAAGTGCCACTTAGGAACCAGGCACTATACCAGAGTTGCTAGGATGCAGTGGTGGACAAAACTCAATCCCTGCCCTCATGGAGTTTACAGTCTAGGGAGCAAGGAGAATGACCAGCCAACCAAGGCACATGGTAAGAAGTGCTACAGGGAGGAATGAGTCACATTAAGAGGTTGGAGAGTGGCTGGAGAGTTACATAGGATGATCAGAAGGGTTTTCTCTGAGGAGGTGACATTTGTGCAGTAGTATGAATGAGAGGCTGAGTCAAAGAAACATTGAGGGGAAGAGCTTTCCCAGCAGAGGGAACAGTAAGTAAAAAAACCCTGAGGCTGGAGTTTTTGGTTGAATCCAATGGCTCCTAAGCACTAACTAGTTGCATTTGACTCACCAAAGAAGCTTAAAAACAAATACTATTCCTGGTATCCACAGTCTCAGAGCCCAATTCAGTAAACTAGAAGTGGGGCCTGAGAACCTAGATTTTTAAAAAGCCTTCCCAGAATATTCTGATGCTTAGCTCAGTTTAGGAAACTCTAATCTAGTCCAACGACCTCATATCACAGAGGAAGAAATTGAGGTCCAGAGAGAGGAGGACGTGATTTAGCTTCTGGTCACAGAGTTACATAATCATAGAGCCAGGCCTAGAAACCATATTCCCACATTCCCAGTCCTCCCTGCTCTCCTATCCCCTCCTCTCCCCTCTTCTCCTCCTGCAACAGAAGAGGCCACTAGAAATGTTTTTCTTCTAATAATATTTGTTGTTGTCATTATTAATATAAATAATAACTACCATTCATTGAAGATTTATCCCAGGCACAGTTCTAAGCACTCTTCGTATATTAACTTATTAAATCCTCACAATAACCTTATAAGAGTGGCATGCTTATGATTCTCACTTTGCAGTTGAGGAAGCTGGTGGAGAGGTTGAGCAACTTGCACCAGTCACACAGCTGGCAAACGATGGAGCCAGGCCACCTTCCTGCAGAGTTTATGAGGCTGGACTCCCCTTTGGGGCTGCCTCGTGCAGACCAGGGCAAGATTATTACTGCTGTTATTGATTCTCATCAACAGGAGCTTCAGTTTCTCATCCTGTGCACATTGACAGGGACACCGGCCATATCATGATGCAGACAGCTGGGAGTGCACCTCAAGGCCATGGTACAAGTTCAGGCAGTGGATTCTGTCCCTTTGGAGAGCAACTGTGGTCTGAACATTACTTATTTATCTTTTAGAAACTTCAGGTGATTGAAGTTTCCTTTTGGTGATTTTTTGAAGTCAGGCTCTGCTGAGAATGCAGAGGGAGAAGCTGGTGTGCTTGCTGCATGTTTATAGCCAAGCTTGGCACATCATCTGAGTCATAGCTGCATCCAAGTAACACATCACTAGTATGTCTTCCCTGTGGCCAGGATGACTATGTCATTGATCTCACTGTGCGAGACCCTGAGAGCAAGGTTGAAAGATAAAACAGGATGATCCCTGTCCTCTAGGAGCTCACGAATAATTATAACTCCTGGCAGAAAGTAGCAGTGTTCCATTAGAGTGCTGGAGGTTAGAGGGCCATGGTGGTGAAGAACAGCTTGTGCCTCCTGAGAACAGGAAGAATTTTGTTGGATCTGGACCTTGATTTGACAGGTAGTGACAAAGGAAGAGATCTGCAGGACGAAGGAACAACCTCAGCAAAACCACAGTCGTGTGACATGGCATGGCAGTTTTGGGGAAGGGAGATTAAAAAAATATAGTTTTTTTTGTTGTTGTTTTGTTTTTTGTTTTTTGAGATGGAGCCTCACTGTGCCACCCAGGCTGGAGTGCATTGGTGCAATCTCGGCTCACTGCAACCTCCGTCTCCTGGGTTCAAGTGATTCTTCCACCTCAGCCTCCCAAGTAGCTGGGATTATAGGCATCTGCCACCATGTCTGGCTAGTTTTTGTATTTTTAGTAGAGACGAGGTTTCACCATGTCAGTCAGGCTGGTCTCCAACTCCTGACCTTAGGTGATCCACCTGCCTTGGCCTCCCAAAGTGCTGGGATTACAGGTGTGAGCCACCACTCCTGGCCATATATAGATGTTATTATGTGTACAGCTAGTATATTTCTATAAGCTAAGGGTTTAAGGTGAGACAGAGTCCATATATAGTTTTACTAGCTTGTCAGTGTGTATTATCCTCCAAATGATCATACCAATAGTATAGAGCATACTCTGTTGGGATCCCTGTCAAATAGAGGGAGAGAGTACATGGTTTACTAATTACTTTATTCTCAAAATACCATGGTGCTATTTTATTTTTATTATTCTTCATAAATTTTTTAATTGTTTTTTAAATTTTTTGTAGAGATAGGGTCTTGCTATGTTGCCCAGGCTTGTCATGAACTCCTGGCCTCAAGCAATCCTCCCACCTCAGCCTCCCAAAGTGCTGGGATTACAGGCATGAGCCACCATGACTGGCCATTTTTAAAAATTATTCTGTATAGGTTAATAACAGATTGTATGATGGGGTTACAGAAGGAGGGCATTTATTAAGGAGGGTGAGAGGCTGAATTAAAGTGACCTCTTCAATCTGTTCCAGCATCATTGATGTGCTATGTGTATACCTATTACTAGCAATAGGTCAGAATTTAAGTATTCATGTGTCTGTGCTACATTGCTAAGTCTTCTGTGATGCTCTGGTATCTAGATGAGGTACTGTTGTGGATCCCTCCTAGGCCTTAATTGTCTATTTCACACCACTGCCTTTAGAAAGGATGAAAGAGGCAAAGAGCCTGAAACTTCAAAATCAGCTGTGAAGACAGGACAGGACACCACTAAGACACAGGGGTGCACTGGAGCTGGTTTACAACCAGCTCAAGAGAGACAATTGTTAAAATTTTAGAAGTTTTGTGGGTCAGTTGTTAAATACAGCCATTATTAAAATTAAATTTTATGGATTTATAATTAAATAAATTATATCCTCAAAAAGGAAACAAAGGCATGCATGTAGTCCCCATTAACTCGGTAGAGGCTGAGGCGGGAGGATCATTTGCACCTAGGAGTTCGGGCAATATAGCAAGACCCCATCTCTCAAAGTAGGTGAGTAAATTAATTAATTAAAAAATGAAAAGGAAACGAATACTCAAAACTCATTGCTTCCAGATTATTTTACTATATTCTACCATTACACATACTCTTGAGGTTATTAGCAGCTATGGTAGCTACATGGCAGACGGAGACACTGCAGAATGGTGTCCATCTCTTCTCAGCTGCATTCAGTGATGTCGTGTTGGTCATGTGACATCAGTTGTGGTGTGAGTATTTACACTACGGAAATGGACAAGTGCTAGAAACCTGAGGGTGATTCATTGTTTTGCTGGTATCTTGACTTAAGAACATGATGGAAAAATATTAATAATGCAGATTAAATTTAACAGTATGTTTTGTCCATGCCATTACATGGTGAATAGCACAAAAAGTTGAGGAAGTATTCTTCTAGTACTCAAAAACTATTACCCAATTCTGCAAAGAAGCTGCATATCATTGATGAAAGAGTAAACTTCCTACATACCTTTATTGTTTCACTTCTGTCTTACGTATTCACTTAAATGAAAATATCAACCAACATTCATGCCAGAGCTCCAGCTGTTTGTCAGCTGCTCACATAGATTGGCTACATATTCAAAGTTTCAGCAGCAATCAATGAAAGCCTTTTGTGAGTCTCACTTGGCTGTATAAAATTTACCGTAAATGGTATTACGATGGGTAATTTTATGTGTCAAAGTGACTGGGTGTAGTGATACCCAGATAGCTGGCAAATCATTTTTTCTGGGTGTGTCTGTGAGGGTGCTTCTGGAAGAGATGAACATGTAAATTCTTAGATGGAGTAAAAACGATTCACTTTCACCAGTGTGGTAGACATCACCCAATCCACTGAGAGCCCTCCTCAAGAAAACAAAAAGAAAGAAGAGGAGCAAATTCTCCTTCTCTTCTTGAGCTGAAACATCACCTTCTCCCGCCCTTAGACATCAGAGCTCCTGGCTTTCAGGACTTCAAATGCCAGGACTTACACTAGCACCCTCGCACCCCCCATTTCTACTCCCTACATCCCAGCCCTGCTCTCAAGACTTGGAGTTACACCCTGATTCTAAGCCCTTCAGACTCAGACTGAACGACGCCACTGGCTTTCTTGGTTCTGCAGCTTGCAGACAGCATATCTTGGGACTTCTCAGCCTCCGTAACTGAGTGTGAGGCAATTCCTACAGTAAATCCCATCTTATATATCAAAATCTCCCTATTGCTTCTCTGGAGAACCCTAATACAAGTATTGTGTGTTATTATTTTTAAATTGTGTTGTACATGTTCTTTATATTAGTAAAGTTTACAATAAACTTATGTCTATCTGTCTATGTACCTATCTGTATTTTTCCCCAGATATCCAATTGTTAAGTCTTTGACACTATACCAGTGCTGAGACATTTCTTCCTTGTAAGTTGACAGGAAGGAAAAATAATTCTCTTGAATAACACAAATCAAACAATCTCTGGAGAGCAGAACTGACTTGGTTTGGGTGCAGAGCGTTTCCTGGGAGCTCATGAAAAGCAGGTCACTAACTACACAGTTGAATGAGTCATAGTTTTCTCCTTTCTAAAACACAATGCGCTTTATTCAAGAAGCTCAAGATTTTAGCAATAGCAGCTCCTCCCAGCAGCCTCTCAGGATGAGAGTATTAGATGCTTCACTCCCACCTCTTCTTAGTGACTAGCTCCGGGAGCCAAAAGTCTGGGGTTACTATCTCCTAAATTCTTCCTCCCTCATTTTAACCAGCCACAGCAGCCCTCTTCCTGTTCTTCAGGCATGCTGGGGATGCTCCTGCCTCTGAGCTTTGCATCTGCTGTCCTCTCTGCCTGGAACAGTCTTCCCCAGATACTAACATGACTCATGCTTTTTATTCAAATGTCACCTTCCTGACCACCTGTATTAGTCAGGGGTCTCTAGAGGGACAGAACTAACAGGACATATATACATAAAGGGGAGTTTATTAGGTATTAAGTTACATGATCACAGGGTCCCACAATAGGCTGTCTGCAAGCTGAGGAGCAAGGAGAGATAGTCCAAGTCCCAAAACTGAAGAACTTGGAGTCCGATGTTCGAAGACAGGAAGCAACCAGCATGGAAGAAAGTAGGCTGGGAGGCCAGGCCCGTCTCTCCTTTTCATGTTTTCCTGCCTGCTTTGTATTTGCTAGAAGCTGATTAGATTTTGCCCACCAGATTAAGGGTAGATCTGCCTTCTCCAGTCCACTGACTCAAAAGTTAATCTCTTTTGGCAACATCCTCACAGACACGCCCAGGAACAATACTTTGTATGCTTCAATCCAATCAAGTTGACACTCAGCATTAACCATCACAAGTCCACCCCTGGTCAACTTGAACTCATACACATCTCATGAGATCACACATAATCTTCAAATAAAGAAAATAATAAGGTCATAATTATACCTAACATAATACGACTATCATTGGTACAATGATAAATGCACCAATCCCCAACCCAAATACTATTACATAAAGTTAACAATACTTAAATGCTGATATGAAGTCAATAAATCTTATGTCACATGATAAAGGAAAAGGAAATAAAATAAAGATATTTTCTTAGTACAAGCATATACCTGGACAAACATATTTTTAGCAAAAGAAGGGAAGAGGAAATACTCATGACAATTACAGTCCCTGTTTCTGCAGCTGGTCACGTGGTCATAGCTGGTATCAATGACCACCTTCTTCTACTACCCATTCTGTATTCCCTTTGCCTTCAGCAAGCACCTCAGCAGGTTGTGGTTTTTTCCCTGGTGGAGCGACCCAAACCTTCATTCCTGAGAGGTCTGGGCCATGTGTAGTCCTGCCTGGATTAGGCTGTTGTAGTTTCCTATTGACCTTAATCACAGAGGATGGTAATATCAAGAGATGCCCTAATGGTTCTCCTGTATTCCATGCATACTCTTCCTTACCTCCGTTATGGAGTAGTAGGCTGATTTCAACTTGATAATCTGGGTCAATCATCTCAGCCAACACTGTAATTCCCTTCTTAGCCTGTTGACCTAAAGGTAGGAGGAGCCCAAAGTGTCCAGGTGGCAATCTTAACTTCCAGTTTAATGAAATCGTTGTTGTATCTCCTGGTGGCAGCTTTCCTCCCTCTGGAACTAGGACCTCTAGGCCAGCAAAATGTAATGTCGTGGGAACAGGAAGCAGAAATTTTGCTAGTGGATCACTAGGGGTGATGGTGAGTGGTGCCACTTCTACTTCTGCACCTTGATTCTTGGACCCATGAATCCTGGCCATGGGAGAAACAGTACCATATATATATAGGACGCTGATTCAGAGCATACAGGGCCTTCTGGAGAACTTTGTCTCAGCCCTGCAAAGTATTGTCATCTAGTTGGCATTGTAATTGAGACTTCAAAAGGCCATTCCACCATTCTATCAATCCAGTTGCTTCAGGATGATGGGGAACATGGTAAGACCAGTGAATTCCATGAGCATGAGCCCACTGCCACACTTCTTTAGCCACAAAGTGAGTGCCTTGGTCAGAGGCAATGTTGTGTGGAATACCATGACAGTGGCTAAGGCATTCTGTGAGCCCACGGATGCTAGTCTTGGCAGAGGCATTGCATGCAGAATAGGCAAACGCATATCCACAGTAAATGTCTATTCCAGTGAGGGCAAACCTCTGCCCTTTCCATGATGGAAGAAGTCCAATATAATCAACCTGCCACCAGGTAGCTGGCTGATCACCCTCAGGAATAGTGTCATATCGAGGGCTCACTGTTGGTCTCTACTGGTGGCCACTCAGCAGTGGCCGTAGCCAGGTCAGCTTTGGTGACTGGAAGTCCATGTTGCTGACCCCATGTGTAACCTCCATCCCTGCCACCATGGCCACTTTGTTCATGGGCCCATTGGGCGATGACGGGGTGGCTGGGGAAAGAGGCTGAGTGGTGTCCACAGAACGGGTCATCCTATCCACTTGATTATTAAAATCCTCCTCTGCTGAGGTCACCCACTGGTGAGCACTCACATGGGATGCAAATATCTTCACGGTTTTGACCACTCAGAAGGTCCATCCACATGTCTTTTCCCCAAATTTCTTCGTCACCAATTTTCCAATCATGCTTCTTCCAAGTCCCTGACCATCCAGTCAAACCATTGGCTACAGCCCATGAATCAGTATATAATCTCACATCTGGCCACTTCTCCTGCCATGCAAAGTGCACAACCAGGTGCACTGCTCGAACTTCTGCCCACTGGGAAGATCTCCCTTCACCTCTATCCTTCAGGGATGTCCTAGAAAGGGGCTGTAGTGCTGCAGCTGTCCACTTTCGGATAGTGCCTGCATATCATGCAGAACCATCTGTGAACCAGGCCCTAGTCTTCTCTTCCTCTGTCAACTGATTACAGGGAACTCCCCATGAGGCCATCAGTGCAGGCTGGGGAAGAGAAAGCAGGGTGGCAGGGGTGGAGACCATGGGCATTTGAGCCACTTCCTCATGTAACTTACTTGTGCCTTCAGGACCTGCTCGAGCCCGATCACATATATACCACTTCCATTGGCTGATGGAATGCTGCTGTGCATGACCCATTTTATGGCTAGATGGGTCAGAAAGCACCCAGTTCATGATGGGCAGTTCAGGTCACATGGTGACTTGATGACCCACAGTCAAACGTTCAGTTTCCACCAAAGCCCAGTAACAGGCCAAGAGCTGTCTCTTGAAAGGGGAGTAGTTTTCTGTAGAGGATGGCCTTGCTCCAAAATCCTAGAGGCCTCCACTGGGATTCACCTATGGGGGCCTGCCAAAGGCTCCAAACAGCATCCCTATCTGCCACTGATGCCTCAAGTACCATTGGACTTGCTGGGTCATATGGCCCAAGTGGCAGAGCATCTTGCAAAGCAGCCTGGACCTGCTGCAGCGCCTTCTACTATTCTGGACCCTACTTAAAACTGGTGGCCTTCGGGTCACTCAATAAATGGGCTGAAGTAACACACCCAAATGAGGAATGTGTTGCCTCCAGAATCCACATGGGCTCAATAGGCATTGTGCCTCTTTCTTGGTTGTAGGAGGGGCCAAATGCAGCAACTTATCCTTTGCCTTAGAAGGAATATCTTGACAGGCTCCACACCACTGGACCCCTAGAAATTTTACTGAGGTTGAAGTTCCCTGAATTTTAGTTGGATTTATTTCCCATCCTCTGGCATGTAAATGTCTCACTAGTAACTCCAGCGTGTTTGCTATTTTTTCTCACTGGATCCAATCAGTATAATGTCATCAGTGAAATGGACCAGTGTGATATCTTGTGAAAGCGAAAAGAAATCAAGGTCTCTCTGAATAAGATTATGACACAAAGCTTGAGAATTGATATACCCCTAAGGTAGGACAGCAAAGGTATATTGCTGGCCTTGCCAGCTGGAGGCAAATTGCTTCTGGTGGGCCTTACGGACAGGAATGGAGAAAAAGGCATTTGCCAAGTCAATGGCTGCATAGCAGGTACAAGGAGATGTGTTAATTTGCTCAAGCAATGAAACCACATCTGGTGCAGCAGCTGCAACTGGAGTCACCACTTGGTTAAGCTTACAATAATCCACTGTCATTCTCCAAGATCCATCTGTGTTCTGCACAAGCCAAATGGGAGAGCTGAACAGGTATGTGGTGGGAATCACCACCTCTGCGTCTTTCAAATCCTTGATGGTGGCACTAATCTCCACAATCCCTCCATGGATGTGATACTGTTTTTGATTTACTATTTTTCTAGGTAGAGGTAGCTCTAATGGCTTCCATTTGGCATTTCCCACCATAATAGCCCTCACCCTACCAGTCAGGGAGCCAATGCAGGGATTCTGCCAGCTGCTAGGTATGTCTATGCAAATTATACATTCTGGCACTGGGGAAATGATCACAGGATGAGTCTGGGGACCCACTGGACCCAACGTAAGTCAGACCTGAGCTAAAACTCCATTAATTACCTGACTTCCATACGCCACTACTTTAACCGGAGGACCACAGTGATGTTTTGGGTCTCCTGGAATCAGCATTGGCTCAGAACCAGTGTCCAGTAGTCCCTGAAATGTCTGATCATTTTCCTTTCCCCAGTGCATAGTTACCCTGGTAAAAGGCCAGAGGTGTCCTTAGGGAAGGATGGGAGAAAGATTCACTGCATAAATTGTTGGTAATGTAGTGGGGTCCTTCCTCAAGGAGACCCGGCCTCCCCTTCATTCACGGGGTTCTGGGTCTGTAAACTGGCACAAGTCTGGAAACTGATTGAGGGGCTGTGATTCTCTGTTTTTATAATTCAAATTAGTCTTTTGTCTATTCAACCTAGAAGTTTTCTGCTTGTATAAAGCAAGTAGGAATGCAGTAGGCTTCCTATCAATTTCACTTATAGGAACACTGTGATTAATTAGCCAATGCCAGAGCTCTACATGAGTTAGACTATTCTGATTGCCATTTGCCTCTGCTGTCAATTACAGTAGCTATGCCTACCTTACCTTTGATGGTTGAGTGCTGCCACTTGGCCCCTGCCACCTTGGGATCTGATTATTCCCATTGTATTTAAATTTTGTAGTTGAGTGACTGTGGTTCTCACCATCAGATCTGACATAGAGAGAAGAGAAATTACAGTGCTCTTCAAAGATGCAGGTGCTGCCCTCACAAATCTATTTCACAAGGCATTGGTCAAGGGTATATCTTCTGTACCCTCCCAGCTGGGATGAGTAGGTCTAAAGTGACTAATCTACTCCACCATCCCAATCTCCCTAAGCCTTTGGATCCCTTCCTCTACATTAAACCAAGGGAGATCAGGCATTTCCAGCTCGCTCACAGTGGGCCATCTTTTAATCCACATTTCACCTATCCAAGCAAATAAACTATTAGAACCTTTTTTAACTCCCTGAGGTGCAACATTAAATGCAGAGTCCCTACTTAGTGGGCCCAAATCAATAAATTCAGCCTGATCCAACTCTATGTTCCTTCCACCATTATCCCACACCCTTAATATCCATTCCCATGCCTGTTCTCCAGATTTCTGCCTATATAAATTACAGAACTCAAACAGTTCTTTTCAAGTGTAGCATACCTCCTCGTGGGTCACATTCTCAACCTCATCTCCTCACCTCTAGAGACCCACTGGGACTTTAGTCCAGTTATAGGTCTAGAAGCAAACAGAGGTGTTGGGGGTGGCTCCTGAGGAGAATCAACATTATCCTGCCTGGAAACTGCCTCAGGGGAGGCCATCGCTGTTGCCTCAGGCAGCACAGGGTTTATTTCCTCAGATAAAGATGGAAAGGCTGATGGCAGCATGGGTCGGGAAGGGGATGTTGCCACTACTGGAGATGGGGAAGCTGTTTCTTCTGGCAGAAAAGTTTCATCAGAGTTTACAAACTCAGTGTCTCCAGCTTCATCAGGGTCCTCTCACACATCCCCATTCCAAGTTTCAGGGTCCCAATATTTTCCAATCAATGCCCTCACTCTAACAGTAAACACCTGGTGAGGCTGAGTATGCATCTTTCCTTGCAGATCAGCCCCTCGCATGGTAAGAGCTTGTGTCTGCTTTTCCACAGTTTCAGCTCTTTCTCTACAGGAGATAAGACTCTCATTCAGGGCAATCTTAGCAGATTTGAGGCTCTATTTCTGCCTCTAAAGCCAGGAGATAGAATCCCTGAGTTCACCATTTTCTTTCATAATTTTGTCCACTGAACTTAGGAGCAACCAACCAGCTTCATTATGTTCCTTGGTTGTCCACATACGGTTAGTACATATTTATTTATTATCTAACTTGTCTACTACTATGTAAGTTCTGAAGGGCACAGGTTTCTGTGTCCTTTTTTCACCTCACACAGCATTTGGCACAGAGTAGGTGCTCAGTAGATTTTGTTGAAAGACTAAGTGAATGAGCTTGGCTCACAGTTTTCTTTTTTTGTCTCAGAGAGTCTGTGTCATCTTCCATTTTTACTCCATAGCCATGGGCCAGAATCAAAATGAATTGTGTGGCTGGCCTAGTGCAAATGACCTCCTATGTAAGAGGAAGAAGTGCGCTACCATGCTGGTTTGTTGACGCCATCACTCCAGAGACGGTGCCCTGCTTTGCAGGGGGCTTATCCCAGGTAAAATCCTGCTGGGCCTGAGGCTTTGGTGCTGGCGTATCATCCAGTTATGCCCTTTTGCCGTTGGGTGTCTGTTGACAAACTAGTCTTATCTGCCATCTATAACTGCCTGTCCTTGTTTAACTTTCTGGAAGACGATGTTTCATGGCCTTGCTTTTGAATTCTGCCTTTTGAATTAAAGGGGATGAAGGGGCAGGAACAACAAAGGCTGTTTAGAATTTAGTCTTCTCAATTGTTTGACCCAGTAAATAGACAAATAAAAAAGGGGGAGGAGGAGAAAAGAAAAAAAAAAAAGGAGACTAGGCTGAGCTCTGCAGTTGTAGGTCCCCTACGGGTTCAGCTGATATGAGTCCAATTTCAGTGGGGGCCTGTGCACCTGTGAGGAGTTAATGAGAAAAATTCAGAAGCAGCTTCTCTCACAAGGGCTCCGATTAGGACCCCACAGAGGCAGAACCACCCCCATCTCCTGGCAAGTTCTAATGATGGGATTTACCTCAGCGGTTGTATTTGAAGACACTCCACCGCTTTCTTAGGAGTAGGAGGCATTCTAGGTGGCCTTCCTGCTCAGCTTCCTTTGGGCTTTTAGATTTTGAAACTGTTCCTGAATGTAATACCACAAAAGCTGAATAAAAATATTGGCAGAGCGGGGGTGTATTTCCAGTGGGCCCCATTCAGGAGGAAGTCAGCATGAATCTACTGGAGAATTGGAGGATGTTCTTTATCATGAAGTTCAATCCCTCACTTCTCACATGGGAAGACTGGGATCCACCGAGGGCCTCTGAAGGGACACTCAACTCAGATCATCTAGGAAAATATGGCATTGGGCAGGATGACACCACTTGTCTAAGTGGCAGTGTGGTGTGGTTATGTTGTTGTGCGATTCTGAGTGGGCTCTGCATCCTGATTCTGGCTCTGCTTCTTACTGATTGTGTGAGTTTGGGCAAACCTGCCAGGGCTTCCTGTCCTCCCTGTTTCCTTATCTGTAAGATGGAAACAAGGGTTGCATCTGCTGGTCAGGGTTACTGCCAAGGTTTAAATGCGTGAATACACTCAGTGTACTTAGAGAACATTCTGGGCCAAGGCAGCCTTAAGCGAGCATTAGATTTTATGATTATCAGGGTCTGCTCTTCCAGCCCCTTTCCATAGCCCCACTCCTAAAAACTGTCCTGTGAGGTCAGGATCAGACTCAGCCTGCAGAGGTGGGTGAATGGCTGATCTGATACCAATCACTTTAGTGCCACAGAGTCACCTGGAGCTACATGCCCGGTGCTCTGGTAGGCACTACCTGGGCCAATATATATGTGCCAATATCAGAAAGAAGCCTGTTCTTAAAGAGCCATTGGAAAGAGCTCCAGGTTAGGAGTTAAAGAACATGACTTCTAAAGGCGGGCCTCTCTCATGCCAGCCACATAACCCTGGTAAGTTGCTTCACCTTCACCAATCTGAGTCCTTCTCTGTCAGATGGAGAGGATGATCTCTACTCTGCCTTCCTCGGGATTCCAACAAGAATCAAGTGATTTATATACATGTACAGGGTGTTAGATTTCAGTGAAATGCTTCTACTAAGGTGATGTAATAGTGGGAATGAAGTGGCGATTCACCCGAAGGACCCTCGATCGCATTCACCCCAATGTGGACTGGATGTTCACGGTGCTGAGAGCAGGCAATAGAGGGATCCTGGAGACCTGCTGTATACCCGAATGGTGTAGCCAGAAGTCAGGAGAACCTGGGCTTGAATCCCAGCTCTGCCACCTTCTAGCAGTGTGATCTTGCATAGGTTACTTAACATGATTGATAAAATCAGAATCCTGGTAACCTCATAGGATGGTTGTAAGGAGTACATGAAATCATACACATGAAGTGCTCACAACTGGGCCTGGTATATAGTGTTCCCTATAAGTATTAGCTGTGGGCCGGGTGCGGTGGCTCACGCCTGTAATCCCAGCACTTTGGGAGGCCGAGGCGGGCGGATCACGAGGTCAGGAGATCGAGACCACGGTGAAACCCCGTCTCTACTAAAAATACAAAAAATTAGCCGGGCGCGGTGGCGGGCGCCTGTAGTCCCAGCTACTCGGGAGGCTGAGGCAGGAGAATGGCGTGAACCCGGAAGGCGGAGCTTGCAGTGAGCGGAGATCGCGCCACGGCACTCCAGCCTGGGCGACAGAGCGAGACTCCGTCTCAAAAAAAAAAAAAAAAAAAAAAAAAGGATTAGCTGTGCTTGGTGAGATCAGCCAGTCAGCCAGTTCCAAGATCAGCCCTTGTCGAGCTGAGCTCCTGGGAGGATCCTGTTCACAGAGTCTGTCGTACAGGCAACTAATATGTAGAGGAGCATTCCAATTCATCCATTTGGAGGGTGTAATTGGTCTTTCTTGGGGAGACAGACAAACTCATGTCCAGCCCATCATTTCCTTGTAGGCAAGCTCTCCAAGGAAGCTAAATGGAAGCAGCTTCTTGCCTGGAAAGCAGAGTCTCAGGGCAAGAAGGGGTAGCGAGGAGTATGCTTATATCAAGGGCATGATGTCCTAATGCCCCGATGGATCCGTCTCCATGTGGCACCTGCACCAAGGGCTGGACCGAGCTGTCTGCAGCCAGAGTCCTTCTCCTGCTCTGCAAACAATGCCATATTTCAGTGCTCTGCTTTCCCTTTTCTATGTTGCTTCCTGCCAAGTTACCTCCCTTATGTCTTTACATAAGCTCAGGCTCTTGATCTCACTTGCTTCTGGACTATGGCATCTTCTGGTCTTTGGGGCAGCCCCTATCTACCTGATGTCACCCCTTGTATATTGATGCTGCTGGTTTAGCTGTATGCAGCATGCACATTGTTTGCTCACCTCCCTACAGGACCTCTAACATCGTGAGGCATGTCGTGGTCTTGCTACTTCCTAATCCACACACCAGTTTGGTAGCTATAGGGAAAGGGCTGTACTTGTCAAAGTACAACTATAAGGAAAGGGCTGTACTTGTCAAAGCTCTTATTTAGAAACTGGCCTCTCACCTCTGCTGTTTATGAAGGGGATGTGGAGCACCATGTGAGAGGTAATTACTTCTTTCGCGAGGCAGGGATCTGTATCTGTTTCATTCACTGATGTGTCCCACGTGCCAGGACAGTACCTACCACAGAGCAGGCACTCAATTATATCTGTCAAATGAATAAAAGTCACTTCTCAGGATACCATCCTGCTTATCTCAGAATCAGGTCTTTGGTTGTTTGTAGGATGCAGCACACCTTGGTCTCCTACTGGATAAAGTGTTTTTGCCTGCAGTAGTGCATGCTCTCCACACTCTGGAATAGCTCTTTTGGGCTTGGCTTTCATTCTTATTCCTTTTCCTACACAGTCCACTGATGTCATAGACCCTGGCTAAAAGCAGAGTTCTGATCCATTCATTCATTTCTAAGCTTCAAATCTTTAGGTGACTTTCCATTGCTTTTGAAACAAGGTACACATTTCTCACTTGGGCAGTCAAGGCCTAGGATCTGCACCTGATCTAGTCTTTCAAACTCAGTCTCCGTGTGTTCCCCACAAATACTCGTGGTTTCATTTCGATTGCATTGCTCAATGTTTTCCAGACGTCTCTCTGAAACCTTCCTGTCTTTGTCCTCTTCTTCATATTGTGTCCTCTAGAATAATCTTCCCAACAAAATGATGTTTAGGAGGGGTCTTGAGCACTGTAAGTGATGTTTCTGCCTGCTGGGACTTCCAGCTTTTTTTTTTTTTTGAGACAGAGTTTCACTCTTGTTGCCCAGGCTGGAGTGCAATGGCATGATTTTGGCTCACTGCAACCTCCGGCTCCTGAGTTCAAGCAATTCTCCTGCCTCAGCCTCCTGAGTAGCTGGGATTACAGGCACCCACCACCATGCCCAGCTAATTTTTTGTATTTTCAGTAGAGGCGGGGTTTCACCATGTTGGCCAGGCTGTGAACTCCTGACCTCAGGTGATCTGCCTGCCTCGGCCTCTCAAAGTGCTAGGATTACAGGCGTGAAGCACCGTGCCTGGCCGACTCTAGCTTTTAAGACCTAGTCTGAGCTTGCAAGACCCATCGTGAACATCATTTTTTTCACAGAATTTCTTTTTTTCTTTTTTCTTTTTTTTTTTTTTTGAGATGGAGTCTCACTCTGTCGCCCAAGCTGGAGTGCAGTGGTGCCATCTCGGCTCACTGCAATCTCCGCCTCCCGGGTTACAGAATTTCTAACTAGCTCTCTACCTCTTCTTACCCTCTAGTATGTGCATTTGTACCTTGCTTTGTTTTCCTCAACTTTGTGCTTGTTTCTGTAATTCCCTCATTCATTCCTACCTCTGCATGCTTGAAAGTTCTTTGTGGATAAGGACTTGGTCCGAATTATATTTCCTTTCCCATCCCATGCACGTGGTCCTCTCTCAGGAAATAGTGCAAATGAGCAACTATTGCACCAAGTTAGCCATTCTCTAAACATAGGTACTACCTATGCACTTTACAATTCTTGCTTCTAATTTATTTCTGGGTTGCATGGACCTTACAAAAAGGAGTAGCCTTTTTGAAAAGATTGGTTTGAAAAAAAACAATTTCAAGCATCGTTTGAAAAGGCTGCGGGACCAAAAAGCCAGCACAGCTCAAGTCATTTTAAACATGCAATGATTCTCACTCTGAATACTCAGAGTGGAGACTCAAAGTGTGGCTCTTTGCAAGTTAATGTCACTCTGGCCATTCCTTACACTTTGATCATTCAAACAGAAGTCACATGTGGTTTCGTCTCAGCTCTAAGAAGGCCAAACATGAATTTCTCAAGCCTGTCCAAACAATCTCTCAGAAAAAAAGATAGAGGTTGGATCATTTGTTCATACAGTTTGATTAGCTAACACACATTTTATAGTACTTGAAGGGTTGTTGAAAAGGAGTTCCTGTCTTATCACTAGAAGGTGAATTCTTGAACCTGTAAAATAAACTAGTTAGTTTGCATGTCTTTATATTCCTTCCATGCATTTAGATATACCTATTTCCAGACAGGTTTTCAGAATGCATTTGGGAAGCCTGTGATTAAAGGATATTTTCTGGTATGGTATGAAGGCTGAGTCTCTTGACAATAACTTTCAGAAAAAGAATAAAATCTATTTTACATCAGCTGAATGTCTCTAATTGGGTCTTGAAGACCAAACAGTTCCCTTCAATGCAGCTGGGGCTTTGGGTAGCCCCAAACCAATTAACTCAAATTATATAATTTTCTTCCCATCCCTACCCCCAAAGCTTGACTTGCTTATTTAGTAAAGAGGAGGATTAGCGCAAGCACTAAGGAGCTGTTCTCTGGCTGCCTGGCACAATATGTGAACTTACTTCTGGGCCAGCCAGAAGCATCCTGGCTGGGAAGAAAGGAAAAGGGGAAGCTGAAGTGAAGCCGTCTCCTTGGTGTGACTCTCCTCTTTCTTGGGATACAATGGAACTCAGCAGAAATATATTACTGGATTACCAGGCAGCAGAAAGCATGCTGGCCTTTAAATGGGAACAAGCAATCTTTAGCCCTCCTAAACCTCTAAAAATGTGCAGGAGCTAATTAAGGCAACAACATCATGAGGTGATCAGAGAAGAGCAGAGAAATGTGAACGGTTAGGGGGAATCTGAACAGGTGTGTATGTGCGGTGTGTCTAAAGGAGCAAAAAGCTTTACTATGAATAGATTTCATCTTTCTTCTGTTTCCAAATGATTTGTTAAGCCTGGGGTGAGCATTGAACAAATAACAAAATTATGTAACAATTCCAAATGTATATTTTCCAAATTAAAAAAAAGCAATAATTTTAAAAGGCAGAATGACACCCTGCATTGCAACTGTATCAGAAATATGCTTAGTAACCTTTATTACAAGGCAGCTTAATTTTTTTTCTATTTTATATAGAGTACTGTCTTTTGTGATCCTTGTAACAAGATACTAAATACCTGATTTGATAATTGTGACATATAGGTGAATTTAAAATAGTTTAGTTCTAATAAGAAAGAATAATTAATGATACCTTCAGGTGGGCAGGTTTTTTCAGGGGAGCATTTTTTCATATTTATTGGACAGTGAAATCTCAGCTTCTAAGTGCTGACCTTTTATGTGCCAACAAGAGAAAGCAAATAGTAGACATGCCTCAATGTCTCCCTTCTTTTCTAAGCTTATAAAATATGGTACTTAACTTGCCGTGGTATTTTCTCACACATTCCTTTCTGAGGGGACCCTGCCCTGGATACCAGTAGAATGGTTTTATACAACAGGCTTCCCTGATGTTCTAGGTCCTGGGAGTTATCTTCTAAGCTTGAGTTTTTTGCTCATATGTCTGTCAAAAAGGAAAATCCAGTGAAATTAAAGTTCGTCAGGAAGCTACAAGTCTGTTTTCTTACAGCTCCCATGGGCAAAGTAGCATTATATCTTCTGTTGATGTCACCATTTCTCTGGGAGATTCTAGAAATTTGTTCATTGGTTTCCTTCAGAATCTACTGACTACCAATGTAAACTCACAGCTGGAGAGCCACATCCCTTGTCCTTTTGGACCATGGTACCTATGACCAAGGCTTAGGCCTTTTCTGTTGAGTCTCTGTCTTTGGGGAGGGGGATAAGTTCTTAAATTCAGGGCCAGAGTTCCAGGAAAGGTATTCAAGTAAGACACAGAGCAAGGCTACCAATTAAAATAAAGACAATAGACTTTCAAGTTCAAATTCTGAGAAGAATATTAAAAATTATTTAGTCTACACTGTGATTTTAAAGAGAGAACCATGGTAGCCCAGGAGGGAGGTTGACTTGTTCAAGGTCACATGGTGGCTTAGTGGTACTGCCTGACCAGAACTTGGTTCTCCTGATGCAATTGAAGAGCAATCTCTGGCTGTCAATGCTGATCACATCTCAATCATAGAAACATCTCCTTTATTTTTCTGACTTTATAGATTGCTAATGGCAGGAGAACACTATGACTTACAAGTTGAGCTTTCACCTTGCTGGCCCTGGCTGGGCAGACTTGGCATCTGTGGTTGAGGCTTTAAGGTGGAAAAACAGGGCATTACCAGTGCTTCTTTTCATTGAATGTACATTTGAGAGATGCATTAATTAACGTAAAATTGCTACCTCTAGCTCTGAGCCTTAGCTGGCGCTCCACTTTGTACTGTTCACCAAAATCAAAGCACCGCTATGGTTTATTTTTTAGATATCTTGAAAAGGATAATGTTTGACCATTCCTCTCCTTGGCTTTACCTCCATGTGCTGTGTGTAATGATCCAGAGAGAATCAATTGGACACTGCATTTTAAAGATAAGGATTGGGATTTTACTTCTGGGTAACCTGGTGACCCCAATCAATCTCTGTCTTACGAACTCTCTGAAGATTTGATGCTCCAGTCCGCAATTAAGTCCCAGCTTCCAAGAATGGCAACAGATGTTGCAATCCAAACACCTTTATTAACTATTTATCTTCAAATATATATCAACGATCTCTTGGCCAACAGAAAGAGTGGCCTGCCCCTTAAATGGAAAATCACACTCTTTCATCTTCAAGCTATTTTACTTTATAGTCCTTTTGAGAAGATAAAAAGAGATCTATTAAGAAAGTAGCTGACAATATATAATTGCTTTCAAAATTTGCCTTTTCTAAAAGTAGTTTTTATCTATACATTGAAAATATTGCTATTAAGTTGTATACCTCAACTATACAAAACATCAAATGGTATTTAGGGTAAGCAGAT
The DNA here is from genome assembly GCF_000001405.40 of Homo sapiens. NCBI lineage: Eukaryota > Metazoa > Chordata > Mammalia > Primates > Hominidae > Homo > Homo sapiens. Next base: position 193,914,928 of record NC_000003.12, on the reverse strand, counting down.
AACATAAAGTTATCTTTAATAGTGAAGATTTCAATGTTTGGTTTCCTTTGTTTTCATATAAAACTTGCTGATTACATTTCATTTGCCAGACTTTGGCCTTGTTTGAACCAGAGCTTCAACACCATAAAAAATAATCCTTGCCACCTACTTGCCTTACAAGAATGTCATGAGGATTATAAATGATGGTGGAGTAATTTAAACACAGAATGAAACACAAGGCCAAAATATTTTAAGCAAGACCCTGTGTAATCCTTTGTAATTGAACTCATCAAGGTTTCATTCTACAGCTGAGCCCTTGCCTGAAGTTTATTGAGGTTATTCTACCGAGAAAAAAATAAACTATCGTGAGGTCAAAGAGCCTTCTTCTTCCTTGATTTAACTCACTGGCTAAATTTGCTGAATTCCTCTCACACAGGTAGGAGAAGTGGGCAGTTTTTTGCTTCAAGGGCAGGGGTGAATTCACATGAAGATAATGAAGTTTAAGCTTCCAAGTGTTCTCAATGCCATTTGTCTTCATAAAATTTGCAAAAATCAGATATTTTAATCACAATTAGTTAAGAATGCGATTTTTACTCTGATTTTCCTTCCATCATACCCAAGGGCTGTCAAGTGGGGTGAAAGTGGCCCCAGGGCAACTGTGCACTCTAGCTAAGGGAACCTTGAGTAGGGGGTGCTTTAGTTTGGACTTCATGAAATATGAAGCATGCAATACTTCATAAGTCCAAACTAAAGCATGCCCTACTCAAGCTTCCCTTAGGTAGAGCCGTCTTTTGCTGTCCATCTGCGTACAATCACATTATTTCTAGCCTTGCTGATGTAGAAATGACTTCCAGGAACATGCCCACACTGTGCCGACTCACCTGCTGTCATGGCACAGAGATACAGACCAGACAGAGAGCCCGTCAAGAATTAAACTAAACACTGGAGGTCTGTGGGTAATGGAGAAGAAGAAAGGTTTGCAAGGACTTAGAAACCAACCCGTACAAAAAAGTGTCTAAGTATCACGTGTACACAGTTGTAAAGGCATGAATTCATTTCATTGATGTCTGGTCGAAGGAAAGTTCTCCCCTCTCAGGATTATACTTCATAAAGCATGGTTTATAATGTACATGTACTATGTTTTTTCTTCTTTTTAAATGCAAATTGTGTAAAATAGAAATCATGAGAATTCCTGTGTTTCTAGAAACAGACGTATAGGAGTGCTATAAAAAACAAGCATATCTAGTGAGAAATCAAGAATTGTATGGACCCCAACTTTCAATAATAATGTAACAAACTCCAGTCAACCCTGCTAGTAGAATGAGTGAATTATCTTTCTATTATCTCTATTGAAAATAATATAGCAAAATCATTGTCATATTAAGCAGCAATCAAAAAGTAGTAAAAAATGTAGATTAAAAAAGTATTACAGGTGTACATGAAACATGAATTACTAAAAATACTGTTTTTAAAAAAATTTTAATATGTTTATGGTATTTCCCAGTTTTCTGAATAAATATCCATATTAATATCTATTTTTTATCTATAACCTTTTATATTCTTTTTCTCACAAAAGGTCCATAAAATTTCATGTGTTTTAGCCCTCACATATTTTGCATCTGCTGTGGGGTAGGGGTGGGAATGTCAGGTGTCAAAGCTCAGTCCTTCCTTAAAGATTATTTGATTCAGAGAAGACCTTGGAGGCCAAGTACATCTCTGCTTCTTGCCTCCCTCCACCCCCTTCCCATTATGTTTAAGAAAATGCAGGCTTTGAAGTGAAGCTGTGCTTATGATTACACAGCCTGTGCTTGGTGGAAATTGGACAAATCCATGCATTAAGAATGGATTCTAGGATCTGCTGGTCAGAGAGACCAGCAGCAAAAGGACTGAAGCAGAAGCTGAAAGATCCAGGTGTCAGTCTTGACTGCCACTGGCTGATGTGTGACCTTGAAGAACAAACTTCCTCCACTGGGCCTTGACTCCCCATTTGTGCATGCAAGAAGGAGCCACCTTCCTATATTGGAAGTTATGGGAAGCCTCTGTGACAAAGGGAAGTCTGAGCAGAGGCTCAAAGGAAACCAGAGAGAGTCACTTGTATGCCCAGGCCTTTCTGTGAAGAGGAGAGTGTGTGTGGCATCTTGGTGGACTGGCAGGGAGGCCAGCATGCTCAGCTGGGTGGGCGAGGAGGGCAGAAGTAGGCCAAGTAGACGAGGCCAGAGAGCCAGTGCAGGCTATGGCAAGGGATTTTGCTCATAGGGAGAGGGGAGCCATTGGACCTGATGAACCTGGAGTGAGATGACCTGAAAGATATTTAAAAATGATCACTGGTGCTGCTGTGTGGAGTGAGGGTGGAGGCTTGATAAAAGGTGGCTGCAGGCCTGGTGCGTGGCTCATGCCTGTAATCCCAGCACTTTGGGAGGCGGAGGCAGGCAGATCGCTTGAGCCCAAGAGTTTGAGACCAGCCTGGGCAACAAAGTGAGACCCCATCTCTACAAAAAATACAAAAATTAGCCGGACGTAAGTGGTGTGTGCCTGTAGTTCCAGCCACTTGAGAGGCTGAGGCAGGAGGATTGCTTCAGCCTGGGAGGTTGAGGCTGTAGTGAGCCACTACACTCCAGCCTGGACGACAGAGCGAGACCCTATCTCTAAAAAATATTAAAAAGCCAGTGGAGAAAGTGCCTACGATCACCTCCAGCACAAGGCATAACGTGGCAAGTGCCTAAAAAGAAGCAGAGGGAAGTGGTGCTGGCCGGAAAGAATGAGCCGGACATTATCAAGCAGAGATGGCAGGCAGAAGGCGTGACAGTTTTGCAGAGGAAATGGCATAAACAAAGATATGTGTGAGAAAAATGAAGGCCTTGCTCACGGAAACAGTGCTGTGAAGTGACTGAGAGTGAGGATTCTGTGCCCTTAGAAGAGTTATTCAAACTTCCCATCCCTTAGTCTTCACTGTAAGTGGGGGCCGTTATCCTCATCTGCCTGGGAGAGGTCTGTCAATGAGAGTTGCCTGTGTTGTACTCTAGAGGTGCAGGGCGAATGGTAGCTTTCACTATTATGAATTTACGAAATTTTTATGAAATGCCAAAAAGTTCCGTGAGGCATAGAAATGTGATCAGCAGGAAGTCAGGCTGATAGCAAAGAGTCTTGAATGCCAGGCTGAAGAGACAAAAGAAGGAGGGAGAGTTCCAGGCTTGCTTTATTCTAAAAGTCACCAGAGGAGCTTCTGAAAATGAAGTCCCTCATCTTCCTACTCTGACATGGGGCCCAGGGAGCTGGATTTTAGCAAGAGTCCCTGGTGATTCTTATGCGGATGCGGCTTAAGAAAATAAATGTTTTTAACCTGAAGGTTGAAGGGGGCATTGTCTTCAACTGCTGAGCTGGTGGACCCATCTGCAAACCAACGATATGCCGACTACTCCCAGTTCTCCTTGTGCAAAGCCAGCAACTGCTAAATAGTTGGAGCTGATAGTTGGAAGGAGGAAGCATGTGGTCCGGGATTGAAGGAGAGCTCTGGGGACCTTTCGAGGAGCCACCCTTCCCCTGTGGCTGTGCAAGGTGGTGACCCAAGCTCATGTTCTCGTCCCAGCTCCAACGCTGCCAAGTCACTGTGTGTCACTTGGATGATTCTTGCCTCTTTTCTGAGCTGCAACTTCCTCCTCTGTTTGAAAAAACAGAAAGTTGAGAGGTCTGAATTGGGCAAACTCTAAAGTCCCTTCCAGTTCCAACTTTATCTGTTTATCAAACAGCCTAATCTTTGCAAAAGCACTTGCAATGGCTACAGCCTGGAGACAGTCTTTGCAAACTTTGCAGTCAGACTCAAGGCTCTGGGGGTTATGCAAAGGGCACTGAATACTCCTGCCATCAAGATAACAGAAGGAACCCTTCTCTGGGGAGGGTTGTTCACATGCACCTCAGTACACGCAGCTCTGAGAGCTGGGACTTGTCTGATTTAACCCTTATCACCCTGCAGCATTTGGTGGGGCCAAGGTGGAAGCAGTTAGTCAGTTACCTCTGACTTTCTGGCACTTCCTTTGCCTGAAACAAGCCAATTGGGTTTTAGTGCTCTCTGATCAGAAGCTTCATGAGTCTGTGGTGTGAAAAGTGAAGAAAATAAGTGTCTTTGATTTCAGATAAATCACTTATGCACTCCAGGACTCAGTTTCTTTGTCTGAAAAATTTTCACTCCCTGAAAGAGGATACTTTTGCTTCTTAATTGCCATCAAATTTGGATGGCACAACTTTTACTGAATTCTTTTTTTTATCCCACAAAATTGAGAAATGGTCAGACTTTTTAGGACCAGTTTAAAAATAATAGTTTCATCTCAAGCAAAAGGCTGGCTTTCTATTCACCTTATCTCTGTTAAAGGCATCTTTACATTTTGAGGCAGAAAGTGGTAACAGTGACCTCACTCAGGGCCTTTCTCCCTGGCGGCTTCCACATACCTCTGCACACACAGATCTGAGGGATCTGACTTAACCTTTATCTCACTCATTGAGTTTTCAACTGAGTAGATTTATGAAATATCCATCTAAAGAGTCACAATGATTTCTTGATATATTTTCTAAAGCAAAAGGTGGGGGAAAATGTCTGAGACTGTAATCCCTTGCTAATTGATTTTCTCATTTCCAGATTCAAGGGTCTGGAGATAATAATTTGCAAAGGGGAAAAATATAAACTCTCAGGAAAACACACTGCTCAGGGTATAGGGGAGGAGGGTGCTGTGTGAGGAGTGGCTTGTGGCAACATGACTGGGGAATGAAGAAGAGTTAGGGCATAGCGATTTTATGAAAAAGGCCGAAGGAGTGAAGGTGGATGGGACTCCAGGACTCTGATAGCTTCTGGCTAGTTGGTCTTCTCCTGCCTTCTAGGGCAGTACCATTTTCCTTACACCGTTATTTTGCCCCCGGACGCCTCCTTGTATATCCGCCCTCCCATCCTCTGAGGAAGGCACTGGTCTCCCTGAATAGCAAGGTTTGCTTTCCTTCACCATGGCTGCCTGCCCCCTGAGCATCGAGCCTCTGGTCTGGCCTGGGGGCCACCAGGGCACCCCACTCTCCCACCTTGAAGCAGGGCACAGACAGCAGAGGAGTCTTCCATAGGAGTCAGGTCCTGAGGGCAACTTCCCTGTTCTCCCTCCACAGCACGCTGGGTCCTCACCAGGGCCACCCTCTATATGCCAGGCAGAAGGACTCCTGGAATCCCCACTTCAGCTGCTGAGGCCCACAGAGGAGTGGGTGAGAGGCTGACTGTCAGAGGTTGCTGAGAACCCAAGGTGCCTGAGAAGGGGTAGCTTGAAGTAATCCCATCCAAGAGTGTCAACGTGCAGTTTCTATTTGACTGCGCAAAGTTCTGGTGACAAATATTTATTGAGGCCTCCTAAAAGCCCTGTGCTCAAGTGTGCTTCAGGGCATAAAGAGAGGAAAGAAATGTGGTTCAGTCCCTGGGGCACTAGAGGGCTGCTGGGGGAGACACACAGACTCCCCAGGCACCCTGATAACCAGGCTTCCTTCTCTGCTGGGACACTGAAGACTTGCTTGGTAGAGGCCCAGGAACCCCTGCAAAGACAGCAGGGTGGGCAAGGAGGGAGAGGCCCACCTGAACAGATTGTACCACAAGTAGCCTCTCTTACCCTGCCTCCTGCCCCAGCTCCTGCAGGGTACAGAAATCTCAGGCAGTGCCTGTCTGCTGGGCCCGTCCTTCTCCTCCACATGGACCTCCCTGCAGCAGCCAGTGGGTGCCTGCCCTGCCCTCTTGCTTGCCTCATTCCCCTTTAATCAAAGCCGACTTTATATTGGCAGGTTAACTGGTGCTCCCACAAGTCAGCGTAGGCCCTGCCAGGGGCAAGTTACAGCCATGGACCCAGGGTTTCAGGATACCCTCATGGCATCATCTGGTAATTGTGATGGCCCCCTAACTGGTCTGGCCCTCTAGGTTCACCATTCTCCATTCCATCAGCAATAGAAAAGGGTCGAGAACCCTTTGGGAAAGGATGATCTCTCATGGTGAGATGAGTGACTGCAGTTAGCTGATGTGCTTCTATGTGGTTGAGGGGTTGGACTTGTTCTCTATGACCCCAGTGAGTGGGCTGAAAGACCCCAGGGCTGAAAGAAGCACAAGAGGGGCTGAAAGAAGCACAAGAGAGGCTGAATCTGCTTTTATAGTAGGAAGGCATTCTGGTAGAGTGCTCTAAAAATGGAATGAGCTGCCTTGTATCTCAGTAAGTAGTGAGTGTATCTGATAGGCTCAGTAGACCACACCCACTGGAGAGACTAGAAGAGTTTTAAATGCCCTTCCTGACTTACTCACCTATTACTATGTAATAAACTACCCCAAACTTAGTGGCTTAAATAACAATGATTTATTATTTCTCATAATTCCATTGGTTGGCTGAGCTCAGCTTGGTGGTTCTTCTGCTGGTCTTGCCTTGGGTCTCTCATGTGGCTGCAGTCATTTGACAGCTTGACTTGGATTGAAGGATCTAAGAGGGCTCAACTACATACCTGGTGCCTTAGAGCTGAGCTGGCTGTCAGCTGAACTTCCCTCTCTATGTGATCCTATATCTTTAGGTCATCTAGCCCAGGTTTCCTCATATGGTGGCGGGAATATTGTAAGAGAGCAGGGGAAGACCTTTAGACCTTCCTAAATCCTAGGCTGTGGAATACACACACTACTGCTTCTGACACATTCTGTTGGTCAAAACAAAGTCAGTTTAGATTCTAAGGATAAGACAATAGACTCCACCATTTGATGGGAAGAGCTGAAAAGTATTTGTGATCATATTTAACCTGCCACACTTACCAAATTGCCTTTGATTCTGAGTCTTCTTCTGGATGATCCCTTGTTAGCCCTCTGGTAAGGGCCATGTGGTAAATGTCTATACCTGTGAAGAAGGGCTCTATGTGGACACTAGTTGCTTGCCAAATATCTACCATACACACACACTTTTTTTGAAGAGGAGGCACTTATTCTGTCTCTACATAGTCATATGCTTTAGGAGAAACTGGCCTCATCCCAACTACAGTAGTAGGGTCAGGGAATATAATGGATCACTGACTGGCCCGGGAATCCAGGCTTATGCTAATTTGATCATGGCACTATTCTGCATACAGAGATTGGTTGGGAAAGGACGTGCAATCCAATGCCAGCCAATGAGACATGAGGGGATGTTTTTTAAAACCTTTCGAGAAAGAAGTTTCTTCATTTGTAAGAAAGAACCACTGGAAAGTATAGTTTCTCTTCTTCTGTTGTGCACAGAAGTGAGGGCTGGAACTGCTGCCATCTTGTTTCCAAACTAAGGACAAAGCCATCAAAAAGAGGAAAGCAAAGCCAAGAGAACCATGGAGACATGGAGCAGGAATCCTGGTCACTTTATGTCTATGCCCTGGCCTTACCTCTGGACTTGTTTCAGTTACATGAGCTAATAGTTCCCCTTTATTGGTTAAACCAGTTTGGGTTTTCTGCTATGCGCAGCTGCAAGTATTATATCTGACACAGGGCTTGAAATTGTTAGATGACAAATCTAACAACAGGTTACAAAGCAGGCATTAACTTTTAAAGAAAATAATCACTAACATATTTTTGTTTTGCTTTCCTAGTAAGTGAAGGAATGAAAGACTCATCTCATAGTAGAAAGAGAAATACCCTTAGACATTGTCTGTTCAACTGAGTCACTTGGCAGATAAGGAAACCAAGACCCTTGAGCAGAAATGTGACTGAGATGTCGCAAACCCCAGGCACATGTACTCATTACTGTGCTATACCATCTCCACCTGCACTTCATAGCAGTGCAGTTATTCACATGCCTGAAGCACAGAGACCACCTGGATAGTCATACTTTAAATATGAACTTGGAACAACTACCTTGGAAACCTGTTCATCAGTTTCTTTACAAATTTGACATGTGACTACCTTATGTCCCAGCAATTCCACCCCTAGGTATTTACCCTACAGGGATGAAATCATATGTCCACACAATGACGTATACAGGAAGGTTTATAGCAAGATTGTTCATGATAGCTAACTGCTGGATACATCTCAGATGTCCAACAATAGGTGAATGAATAAACAACAAATTGTGATATACAATGAAATGCTACTCAGGAAGAAAAAAAAGAGGAATGAACTACTACTGATACATGCAACAACATGCATGAATCTTAACAACATGCTGAATTAAGGAGGCCAGACTCCTAAGAGGACACACTGTATGATTCCACTTCTATAGAGTTCTGCAATAGCAAATGTAACCTGTGGTGACAGAATTCAGATCAGTGGTTGCTTTACGTTGTGTGTATACAAAGCGGAGTTGACTGGGAAGAGGCGTGAGGGAAATTGCTGGAGTGAGAGCAATGTTCTGTGTCTTGATCAAGGTACGGGGCAGATGAGTGTATTCACTTGCCAAATCTGAACAAACACTTAAGATCTAAGTATTTCACTGCATGTAAATTATATCTTGAAAAAAAATGTAACGTGAATTTCTAGCCACGAGCAGGAAGGTACAATATAAACCCGGACAGTTAGGCTCCTGGGAGTTTGCAGTGGTGTGTCCTGGACTCAGGGTTTGGGAGAACCGCTGTCTCTTCCCGCTTGTGCTGATGGCTGGGGTCAACCAGCTTCCTGTGTTCTCTGCCAGTGCCCAGCTGTCAGGATGGGCCCAACCGCAGCTGCCGTAATAGTAGGTTGGGAGAGACATTCCCTCTCGCCCCTGCAGCCACATCACAGAAACCAGCCGTACCCTCTGGCCTGCTTCCCTCCACCACTGACGGCCTCAGGGAGCTCACCAAAGAACTTTCCCTTTCCTCACCCTCAGATACCCTTCCGGAACCTTCCAGGGCCCAAGCTGCCCTTTCCATGACCTGAGCTTTACGGGTGATAAACTCTGGCTTTCTGACATTCCAGGACTGCTTAACTGGGTCATTGCAGCAATCCTTGCTATAACTTTTATTTTTTGTTTTTTGAATTGCCATTTGTGTTTTCTTCATATTTCCTGCCAAACTGTCAAACCAGGCTCTCTCCAGACGCCAACATCTGGTATTAAATTGCAAGTCTGGATGATCTTCCAAAACAATGTTTTTTAAGTGCCGGGGAATGTCTTTTGCTCACATTATTCATCTGTTCAAATTGTATCAGATTCTCTCATTGATTTCTGAACTGAAATGTACCTTTCAACGTATCACGACTATCCTATTGAAGCCAGGCCTCATGCTGGCATCAGGCCATAAGTTGCCTGGAGAATATGTGATCTATTGTTTTGTTGTTCTCTTTTACTTTTCTATTTTTAAAAATCAATAAATCACAAGTAAATCCTTTAATAAGCATTGAATGAACAAATAAATTCAGCTTTCCCCTTATTGTGATGATTATGCTTTTTTTGTTTGTTTGTTAGTTTTTTGAGACGGAGTCTTCCCCTGTCACCCAGGCTGGAGTGCAGTGGTGTGATCTCCGCTCACTGCAACCTCCACCTCCCGAGTGCAAGCGATTCTCCTGCCTCAGTCTCCTGAGTAGCTGGGATCGTAGGTGCGTGCCACCATCCCTGGCTAATTTTTGTATTTTTAGTAGAGACGGGGTTTCACCATATTGGTCAGGCTGGTCTCGAATTCCTGACCTCGTGATCTGCCTGCCTCAGCCTCCCAAAGTGCTGGAATTACAGGCATGAGCCACTGTGCTTGGCCGATGCTTATGTTTTTAATGGAAATGAAATCTCTAAGATGCCAGACATATGGCACCCAGACAAAATCTGGCTGTCTGAATCTGGGGCTAGCGGTGGTTTCAGGATATTTTAGCCCCATGCAGTACATGTTCCCTGGCTGCAGCTTCAAAATGTGTGCCTGGGATGGGGAGGACCCACAGCCCCAGATGGCTTCCTCCTGCTTCTCTTGCTATTGTAGCAACCTCCATCCCTTTTCTGAAGAGTCAGGAAGAAGTGATGCCCAGGTACATAGCTTGCCTGGAGTGTGAGGGAAAGAACCTGGCTGAGGACAGGAGACTTGTTTCTGGTCCTATTTTGCCATCACTCACTCAGAGTGACTCAGGTCAGTTCCCTTCTCTTGGGGCCTTCTGCCAACTTGGGCCTTGGAACGAACTAGTTGGTTTCACCCTCAATGCCTTTTGTGGGTCAACTGGGGAAGCTGGAGAACTGGTAGGATAAGGTGGAAGAAATGTCTCCGGGGCTGGGACTCCAGGCTACCTCCTACTTCTACTTCCAGCAGAGGCATTGCCCTATGATCTGCCTTGAATCTTGGGCTTCAGATTCGTAAACATGGCCAAAACAACAAAGAACCACAACCGCCACCATCACCTGCCTGGTGGTGTCTAGTATCATGTCTAGTATTAGTTGACCCCTAAAGGCCCCTCTAAGCTGATAAGGGAGGATTGATTGCTCCTTCTTAGAGCCGAGCCATGGTGGACAACGTTCCTGACCATCAGTGCCCCACAGAAGGGGCTCCAGTCACCAGCTGGGGAGACCAGACCAGTGGCATGGCAGAATCGTGCTCTGTGCTAATTTGTCACGTGCACTTTCTGTTAAGAGCTCATCTCTCTCTATGCCTCACTCCCTCCCCTTCTCTTTCCTTCCTCTCTTTCCCTTCTTTCTTCCTGAGAAATTCCTGGTGTCTTGCCTGCATGCTCCAGACCTTTCAGCGTCAATAAATTCCTTTTACACTTTGAGCAGTTTCAAAGTGAATTTAGAAGGTGAGTGTGCCTAGCCTCCTGTTTAGACACAATTTCAGTCTGCAGATGGAGCTAGACCTGTCTGGGATTCTCACATGAGCCCACCTGGGCCCATCTGCTGCCATCGTAAATCTCCAGGGAGCTGAGCTCCACCGCTCAAGGGGGTGTTTTCAAGTCTCTGTGGCTGCCAGCTGTTCAAAATGGGCCCAGCCAGGCTTGGAAAGTGCTGAATCCGTAAAAACTGGGTGTCTTTAGAAGAGACAGAGAGAAATGTGAATTTAAAAACACAGCACAACTCTACCACAAAACAAGGCTGAATCCAATGTGAATTCCACAGATAACAGGTTCTGGCGGTGCTTGACTGAGTAGCTGGTTCCCATTTCAGTGCCCTATTCTGCCGCACGTTGCCCTCGATTAATACGTTCTTCCAAGACTGGGGTGAAACACAAAACGAGAAAGCTGCAAGGGCTGCAACACGATGTGGCAACTTGCAGGAACAGAGAAATCTCGGAAAGTATTCTACACGGGGCTGCGCATTCCCAGGAATAGTTGCCATGACGGGCATCCCAGTATAAGCAAGCTGTGTCCCATGAGATCCTGCGTAGTCAGAGATACTGTTTAACAGAAATGTGAACTGCAGAGGGAGGGTCAGCTCACTCCCCATCCCTTAGGTGCAATGCTGTGATTTAAGAGATGAAGGTGAATGTCATTCTCTGAGTTTCCCAGTCCGGCAATTCCAGACTCTGTCTCCTGTCGTATCTTCCTTTGCATAAAATGCCCTCACAGATCCATCAATCATTGACCCTGTGATCATGCATTGAGAACCTCCCATACATTAGGGGCTGATTGCATCCTGTTTCAGATAGTGACATGGTCTCCTGTGTGCCTTTAGGGCAAGGACCAAGGATTATTCATCTTCGTATATTCTGTAACCTATTAAATATATGTTCGCTCAATGAATCATAGAGAAAGCACTCTGTTTTCCTTCCTTTCTGCTCTGTCCCAGAGACAGAAGATCTTGTCTGGTCCTATGTGAACATTAGAAGGTGAAGACGTTGGCCTGGGCGCTTTCCACCCCACAGACAGAAAGAACAAAGGGCGCTGGCTCTGGAGGCGCTCTCCATCATGTTGAAAACTGTGTCCAATCTCATTGTAGGAAGCAGCAGGTAGCTGTGAAAGGCGGCTCAGGCTCTCATTGTTACCACCGTGGCTGCAGGTGAAAGGTCAGTTTGCAGGCAAGGCTCTGACCCTTCACTTTTTTGTTGAGAGTGTCACAAGGTAAATTAATCAGATTTATGGCATTAAGCTCTGCCAATATCTTTATCCTCTCAACTCTTTCTCTCCAGCAAAACTCTCTTTCCTAGGGGGAAAAAAAGTTTCCTTTCTAATGAAAGGGGAAAAGTGCTTTTTGTGTTTCTCTCACAGTTTCCACTTTACAAGTGAAAATGGCTGGGCACATATAGAGGCCAGCACAGCCCTTCCTTTGAACAGGGCTCTTGTAAGTTAAAGTGAGCTTTCCTGGCACCGCCTCACATGCCCCACGCTCATGGGGACAATGCAGCCGGCAGGCTTGGCTGGCACTGATGGCTTCGTGATTTCCTCTCCTTTGACTAGAGCAACTCAGGAAAGCTTATTAAGGAGATGTCGCCAGCCTGGACGTGGGCTTAGGTCTCCTCCATGCCCAGCTGGCAGCACTGGTACCAGAGCAATATTTCAGAGGGGCAGGTAGGCTAGACATGAATGAGCAGAAAGCCCTCCAGTCCCAAAGCCAGAGGCTTGGAGCCGGCTCCCAGCAGGAGCAGGAGGGAGGCTGCTGATGTTGCAGGTGCTTTTCAGGCAGCCTTGCAGGAGAGCACCAACTTCCTGCTGCTAGAAATTTGTCTGCAAATTTTTTCTCATTCAGAAGTGACGGCATCCAGGAGACCCTGGCTAGATATGATAACTTGATTAAAGCCTGCACAGGCGACCCAGATGCCCGAGAAGGGGCTGAGAGGGAGCATGCCTCCTTCTAACCTTTCACCGGGAGAGAGCTGACAGGTCACAGTGGGTAGGTTTCCTCACCCTGGGCTGTACGGTGTCCACATTTTAGACTCACAGCCCTCTAAATAATGCAGCTGTGCTTTGGATACAGCTTCTCTGCTGAAAAAGAAAAGTAACAAAGGCTTATTTTCCCACATCAATTTGCAGCATAGAGATTGGATTATTACAAATATTTCCTGAGCACCCACTGCACACTAAACCCTGTTTTAGGCACTGGAGATACAGCAGTGAATACTGCCATCATAGAGCTTAGAATCTAGCTTGGGGACTCTGACGGTAAATAAATGTACAAAAGCACAATATGCCAGGGGGTTACAATGCTGTAAAAAAAACAATAAAACAGGGCTAGAGGATAGAGAAAATGGTGGGGTATAAGGGATACTCTGAGAACATAGATCAGACAGGAACATCCTCTCTGAAGAAATGATACGAGGCTAGAGACCCAAATGAAGGCTGCGCATTAGCCCTGTTGATACCTGGCCAGAGAATCCCTAAAAGACGGCTTAGCAAGTGTGAGGCCCCAAGCAGGAAGCCTGCTCGATATGTTCAAGAAATATTCCTTTACAATTATGTTTCACTTATGAATGCCAAAAAAAACCCACCTAATGATCACAATAATAGTGGCAAAACTTTTGTGACAATACTGTTATGAGGAGTAAATGAATTAATGTTCTCAAGACACATAGCACAGTGACTATGGAATAGTAAGAATTTAATAAGTGCTGAGGCTTTTATAATTATAATAATTATTGTTGTTTACTAAGAATTTGACAGTCACAATAATCCCATAAGGTAGGTGGTCAAGAACTATCAGCTTCGTCTTGTAAATGAAGAATGTAATGTCCACAGAAGTGACTTGCCCAAGGTCACACTGCAGGTTAGTGGCACATGGAAGCAGGCTGGGTCCCTAGGGCTGCATGCAGAGAGTCACCAGGAGAGCTGCTGATCTGCACTGGACTTTGTCTAAGCAAGAGATTAACTTTTATTATATCAAGCCACCGAGACTTGGGGGTTATTTGTTATAGCAGCTTACCATTACTTAACCTAACTATCAGAATGGGCTGGCTCTAGGATGACTGTAAGAGGGTGTGAGCCCCTCAAATAGCAGGGCTCATAGCTTTTGGAGGGGAGAATGCCAGCTCTTGTACCCCAGTTACACTGAACCCTAAATATGTGTGTATTTTTCCAGCACCACTTTGTTCCTACCAGTCCCCCTGCCTGGGTCATTCTCCATCTACTTCCCTAACAAAACCCTATGAAATGTATCCTTCAAGGCTCTCTTTGAATGCCACCTCCTCCAGGAAGCCTTCTCCATCTGCTGTCATAAGACAGCATTTCTTGCCCTGCACTTTCACAGAAGATTCCTGTTCCCTGGGGACCACATTTTGCCTCATGCTCCAATTACATATGGGCATACCTAACTCCTACATGAGACCACATGCTTCCTGAGGCCAGGCCTCTGACCTCTTTGCTCTCAAAACAGGCCAGAAGCAGAATTCCATTTGGAAAGAGATGAAATAAAACAATTCCTATTTTTTTTAAAAGGTTAATTCTAAATGCTAGGGCAAATAATCAGAGAATGTTCTCCTTGGAATATGTTGGAGTTAGCTTTTACAAACATTTGCACCCTCATGCAGGCACGTCTCCCCCCAACCCCTCATCTCCATGGCACAATGACTGTGATGATGTATTTTGCTGTTGCCTTTATGTTGATGTTCAAACTCTTCTTCTCATCTTACCGTCACCAATTATTGAATGCCTTTAAAAAAAAAACGAAACAAAACCCAAACCTTACCCCAGCAGATGTGTGTGAGCTGTTTGATCTTGAGGCTGAATAGGAAGCAAAGTATCCAAGACTCAGATTATGGTGCAGAAGAGGGGGAAAAAATCTTAACAGGAACTCTGTGAAGGAGAGAGTTTAGCTTTGATCTTACTATTGAATTTTGCTAGTGGGGTGTGTGTTTATATCTATTTCTATTTATCTTTTTACCTCCATAATTCTGTGCTGCTGTGTCTGTCTCTTGCGGCACTACAGAAGGGAGTTTTGTCTGATTTTGTGCAACACGACTTAAGTCATTTAAAGTAAGAATTTAATTTCTCTGTGAAATAAGGAGAAGACTATAGGTTAATTTATGGATATCTTTTCCTTTAAAGGATTCTAAAATAATTGGGGCCACTTTATCTCAAACCGAATGGAAAAGAGCCCTATTAAAAAGCAGAGAGGCCATGCTTCTAGATGAGCCGGTCTGACTTTATCGTTTAATTCCTAATTTGCACATCTTCCTCACTAAAGAAAACCCAGACCTTAGAAAGTAATCTGACCTTTGCAATTTAGGAGAGAATTAAACAGCATTTGTTTATAGTTAAATTCTATTTCAAAGTTTCACCTGAGTGGGATCTCTTTCTAAAAATAATCAGATAATTTTAAAAGTTAATTTGAGAAATGTACAAAGGCAAATTCCCCTGATATTCTGATAATATAATTAATATAATATAATATAATATAATATGATATAATATAATATAATGACAAAGGAGTGATCAATGGACAGGTTATAGTTGTTCATGCATCTTGTAGAATTGTGGATTTTCCATGAATTTCACTGTGAAATGGAGACATCCATCACAATCTTGCCATTGATTTTTCACTTTGATTTGAGGATTTCTGAAATGCTTTTTATAACCTTTCTTTCTTTGTATGCATTCTTCGGTTAATTTATCCATTTAATCAATCAATATTTGTTAAATTTACAATGTGCCAGGCACTTTACTTACACACTTATAATCTGCACCAAGCATTAAAAAGCATATGTTTATCTGTACTCCAAAAGACATAAGCCAGTAAGAGTTCCTAAATTAAGTACTCACAATTCCCTATAAAACTGTTTTCAGAATTTGTATTATTTAGCATTTTCCGAGGTATTTCTTCAGCACTAGCCAAATACAAAGCACAATGCTAAGCATGGGCATGAACAGGGAGATAAATCATGCACCAACTGTGCTTTCTAAGTAGCTTGGGCTGGTAAAAGGCACACCAAGTCCTGCTAGGGAGCAGATGTATGAGGGTGGGTGGAGTGGCAGGGATGCTACACAGAAGAGAGATTCCTTGGGCATAGGCTGAGGCAGGAACTTGCCAGCTTCTACATATCAAATTGGAATGTCAGGGTTCTGGTGTGGAAGGAGATGTTTTTAAAATGCTGTCTATGGGGCATGACAGTTGTTGGGGTATCCTGCTGGGGCCAAAGCCAATAGAGAGTTAAGCTCCCAAGGGCAACTCTTGCCTAGAACTTACTTAGACTGTCAGCCTTTAGTTTGTGGGTCACAATCTTCTTGAGGGTTCAAGAGAGACCATCTCAATTCCCTGCCAGATGGAAGGCCCACTGGAGGGAATAGGGCCTTCAAAGACGGTGTCCTCATTCCACCCCCAAAGGACTTGCCAAAGCCTTGGGCCTGTTGTTGCTCTCTGTTGCCCACCCCCGCCCTACTCAAAAGAATGATATCAGAACTTCATGCTGTACTGGCCTCAGGGGATAAAAGCATCAGAGTAGGTGAAATGCAGGACCTTGGCCTTCTGATTTAAATCAGCCTAGTGTAGCTGTTGGGTCGGTGGCTCTCACAGACCCCATTCTCACTTTACTGCATTGGGGTCAGTGTGGAATAAACACTAAGGTATTGGCCCTGTGTTATCTGGTATTGAAACTGTTCATGATTTTTCTTAGGGAAGTGTCAGATTTTCATGGTGTTTCGTGCCACTATTAGCCAAAGTATTTTAGATATATAACTTTTGATAGGCTATTTATTTTGATAGGCTAATTTATTTTGGCTAGCTACAAATAAATTAAAATGTAAAATAACTATATATGTTTTATATCTCTAA
The DNA here is from genome assembly GCF_000001405.40 of Homo sapiens. Lineage (NCBI taxonomy): Eukaryota > Metazoa > Chordata > Mammalia > Primates > Hominidae > Homo > Homo sapiens. Next base: position 193,898,363 of record NC_000003.12, on the reverse strand, counting down.
CCATACATATCTCTTTGAATGCTGTCATTAAACAATGATAGATAAATTCCTGCTATGTACATTAAAAGTACCTACTATATAAAAATGAGCAAATACCACAAAGAAATGTGTTTCTTTTTCTATATTTAGTTGTACAATATAGATACATGTAGTGCTATGAAATCTCCTTCCTTCCTTCCTTCCTTCCTTCCTTCCTTCCTTCCTTCCTTCCTTCCTTCCTTCCTTCCTTCCTTCCTTCCTCTCTCCTGGCACTGGTGTCTCTTTTAGGTCCTTGCTGTCACATTGCATGCACTCTTAACCCGAATGCCGATGATAGCCCGCCTTCCCGGCTCTCCAGCCGCCCACCCCAGCACCTCCGCACCGTGCTTCTGAGGAAGAGCTTGTCCTCTCTTTCTGTGTGCTCAGATTACAGGCGTGTGTTAGGGAGGCCGGACGCCTGCACTCTCTGCCTCTCCTTGACTTTCTCTCACAGACATCTCTTTGAATCTGCACCTCCCTCCCTCCCACAGGGGCACACAGAGCATCTGACCCTGTCAGCTTCCAGGAGCTGGGCTTCTTGAAGTCATTACCTCAGGCCATCCTCTTTGGCCTTCACAACTACACCCAATCATACTGTTGTCTCCATTCTGTTTTTCCTAGCCTTTGAACTCCCCCAGCCACTCTAAGAAAACTTTCACATTTCCTTTCATCTCTCTGAAGGCTTCCACATCTGTATTTCTCCTGCTGATGTCCAGTTATACTCAGCTAGCCAGGGGAGGCAGGGAGCATCCACTGTTTTGCCTGTTGGCTCCATCCCCTCATGCCTGGGAGCTGTGCCTGATTTTGCTCGGAGGAACCATCCAGCACCTACTGTGTACAGCCTTGGACGGGCGCTAGCACCATCCCTCAAGGTTTCCGGCTTTGCACTGACCAGGGCTTAGCACGTGACCGTGCCATGGCCAATCGGATTCTCCCTCGGGAATCTGCATCTCAGATAGGCAGAGGCCGCTCCAGAAAGCTGTGATAGTCAATTAAGCACCGCAACAGCTCCTTATCCAGATTTTCCAGTAGTTTCCAGTAGTTTCTTTACCTAGGTCCTGCCTTGGTTCCTGGCTTTTCTGAGACTGATTCTTCTGATTCTGATTCAGATTCTGTAAGCAGTCCTGTATCTTCTCCTAAATTCCTTCTGTGCTTAAGATAGCAAGATTCTATTTCTTTTGCCTGCAATCAAATAAGCTGATAAAGTAGGTCAGTCCAAATAGCTATATTTTTAAGCTCAATTTATGTTATGATTATTCCTGGTTGGTCCATGTGGGAGTCTCCAGAAATCTTCTATATTTTGAAATGATGGCTTTCACAATTGAGTGTTAGAATGAACTTCCTGTTCCCAGGTCTAGAAAGTCACCTAAACTTTCTAGACTGAAGCAAGTGAACTCAAGAGAGGCTGACTTATCTACACTGTTCCTTAAATCCGTGCTTCTCAAACTTCAATGTGCATAAGAATCACCTGGAGAGCCTGTTAAAACATTGATTCTTGGGTCCTACCCCCAGAGATGCTGATCCAGTTGGTCTCGAGTGGGGCCCTGAAATCAGAATTGCAAACGAGCTCCAGGTGACACTCATGTTGTGTTTAAGGATTTCATTTTGAATAGTGAGCACTTTAGTATTATTTTCTCCCCCAGACAAGAGAGACTTCGGAGCACAGCAAGATTCCCTCTAGCTTGTTAAAATGAAAAGACAAGAGACAAGATGAGACTTGCCTTCCAAAGTGAGCTTTAGGAATGTGTGTGTCCCTCACCGGCCTCACTAACGACGTTCATCCCATAGAGTCCCTGAGCAGGGTAAGATGATGGCTGGGTTGGAGAGTATGTTCGAGGGCAGGGGTCTCCCCACAAGTCATGCTGGCATCTCCCCAGAGTCTCAGGTTGCTGGGCAGAAGGTCTAAGTCTACTTCAGTGGAAAGTTCAAGAAAAAAACCAGTGACCGTATAAGATCTTGAGGAAATGCAAGACTGCCTCCTGGGACTATTTGGCGGTGACCACAACTAGATCCAGGACTAGAGCTGACCTCCCTCCTCCCTGTGTCTTCCCCGGCCTTCTTTTCTGACTCAAACACCCTCTTCCCTTCTCTCTTTCAAACCATTTTCTTCCTTTTCTCCAAAACCTTGCTTTGACCTTACCTCTCCCAAGATTTCTCCCCCGCCGTCTTTATTCTACATTTGCCTAACATCTACATACTCAGCTTTTGAAATATGACTGATATGAATCACAGCCACTGCTTCTCTGCCCTTTACTACATCGATGGAGTTTTATTTATCTATCTCAATTCTTGCAACGACCTTATGAGGTATTATTACCCCAGTTTATAGATGAGAAAACAAATTCAGAGAAGTAGCTTGCCCAGATAAGCTACTTAGGATAAACTAGAGACAGAATTTAAACATTTCTCTGACTCTAAAACCCTTGCCCCATACCATACTGCATACTAAATCAATTCAGGGTGTGTGTGTGTGTGTGTGTGTGTGTTTATGTATTCCTATATGTGTTTTAATATTTGGCTTATCCATGTAACAAAAAGCTCACTCAGGCAGGACCTGGGTGCTCTAGGAGAGTATTCTAGTGGTTCTCCTGACCAGGCTCACATCCGATGGAGTACTTAGGGCCATGCTTCTTCCTAGAGCAATCATTCCAGAAATGTTGTTTACCACAGATGTGTTGTTCTCTGATGGCTGACATTTCTGAACACAGGCAGGGTTGGGCACATTGCTGGAAGTGAGAAGCATTTTTTCCTACTTACCAATCATCTGTGTTTTCCATTCAGATCTATGGGACAGATGAGAAATTGGCTTCCCAGGAGGAATAAAGAACTCATTATTTGTCATCAGCTATTGAGAGTCTGTTTTCTGCAGACCATGGGGCTGGATCGTAGAAGGCGGCACAGAGGAGGGCCCTAATTGGGAGGTCTTGGACACGGGGTGTCCTGGGATGCAGAGTTGCAGGAGGAGGGCCAGCAGGAGAGGGCAGGCAGGGATCAGGCCAAACTTGGGCTGGAGGAAACATCCTTATGATAGTACTGGTGTCTGGGCCAGACCGCAAACTATCCTTCATGCTGAACCTAAAGGTGTGTGGCAGATGCAGGTGCCCCCTGGAAGGGGTGCACTGTAGTTAAGAGTTTTGGGTGGTAGAGGTGTCGGGTATGTGGCAGCATTGCTAACACAGGTGCTTGGTTCATTCAGCCAGGGGCCCAGACAGTGGCTGAGAATGTACAGAAAACATTCTCTCTCTCACTCATTCATTCATACGTTCATTCATGCATTCCACAAATATGTATTGAGTACAGAACTGGGCACATAGGATATAGTTATAAACAAGACAGATAGTGCCCTTGCCCTGACGGAACTTGTGAAGGAGGCAGGTATTAAATGCTAGTCACACAAAGGGTGGTCTAATATAGCTGTGATTAATGCTGTAAAAAATAATATATTCCATCTTACCAGAGGGCTCATGCTCTGTGGCTAGACAGAGTGTAAGTGCCTCAAGCAAAAAGGGAGGAGTTTGAGGCTAGGCTCCAAGTGCAATGGCCACCATGCCTGCCATTCATTTGGACCAGGGTGATGCAAGTGCTTTCTGGAGGCTCAAGCCCTGCCTTGCCCTTGAGGAACAATCCGTGTAATTATGAAGGCGGATCCAGGGCCTGTATTGAGAGACTGTGGCTTCCTGAGTGACCACTGGACCTAGAACCTGAAGAGCCGCCGTTCAGTCCCAGCCATTCCTTCTCTGGCCGCGTGACCTTGGGCAAATTGCCTACATTTCAAGAGATTTAAAGTCTTCAGAGTCTCAGTTTTCTCATTTGCCAATGGGAGAAATATTTACTGCTCTGCCTGCTGCATAAGTTTCATGAGTGAGAATGTGAAAAGGTTTTGTAACTGTCAAAAGCAGGAAATATTTAGGAGCCTCCACCCAACACACACACATACGTCCCAGCAGGCTAAGCGTAATGAGCCCTGGACGCTTAGGGCCCAGCACAGATTTCAGTGCTAATGAAGCATTGAAAGGGTTGGGCCTGGAGAGGTTCCCACGAGCAGGCTTCAGAGAGATGAGTGTGGCCCAGGGAAGGAGGAAGTGGCCCAGCCTGAGCACTCTGCATGGGGCAGCATCTGGAGGGAGGGGCCCTTTGGGGAGGCCAGAGGTAGACTTGGCAAGAGTCAAGAGCCTTGGCCTGTGTCATAAGAGACAAAGGGAGTTGCATGAAGTGCAGGAAACCAGCCAGTGAGGGGACTTGAAACACACGGTAGTCTCCCTGTTTCATCTTGTATAATCCCATTTAGTCAAACCTCACTTATACTATTTAGATCATGAATTCAGGTTGTTTATCACAGAGGTTTAATTCTATCACAATGAGGAGGGCCTGACTTTTCTACATATATTAATAAAATGGAAAGTGATCAGATGGTGATGAGAATATGGGTCACTCTTTGAAAACAATAGAAGGTTAGAATCTCTGCCTTATGCTATGCAAAAGGTGACTTTTATTTTTTTGAGACAGAATCTCGCTCTGCCACCCAGGCTGGTGGAGTGCAGTGGTGTGATCTCGGTTCACTGCTGCCTCAACCTCCTGGGCTCAAGAGAAGCTCAGCCTCTGGAGTAGCTGGGACTACAGGCACAAGCTACAATGCCTGGCTAATTTTTGTATATATTTTTAGAGACAGGGTCTTGCTATGTTTCCCAGGCTAGTCTCGAACTCCCAGTCTCAAATGATCCTCTTCCCTCAGTGTCCTGAAGTGCTGGGATTACAGGCATAAGCTGCTATGCCCGACCACAAGGTGAATTTTGGATGGATTAAAAAACCAATATGGCCGGGCGCCGTGGGTCAGGCCTGTAATCCCAGCACTTCGAGAGGCCCAGGCGGGCGGATCACGAGGTCAGGAGATCAAGACCATCCTGGCTAACATGGTGAAACCCCGTCTCTACTAAAAATACAAAAAAATTAGCTGGGCGTGGTGGCGGGCACCTGTAGTCCCAGCTACTCGGGAGGCTGAGGCAGGAGAATGGCGTGAACCCGGGAGGTGGAGCTTGCAGTGAGCCAAGATCATGCCACTGCACTCTGGCCTGGGCAACAGAGCGAGACTCCGTCTCAAAAAAAAAAAAAAAAAACCATTATGGGAAAGATAAAATTATAACACTATAAAAGAAGCCAAGGAAGAAAAGGCAAGAGAATAATTTATGACCTTGGGATACGGAAGATCTCTTAAAGAAGAATCCAAAGCACAAATCTTATGGGGAAATATGGATGAACTTGACTATAGCAATATTAAATTTTTATGTCCTATGCAGGACACAAAAGATAAAGGTTCCACAAAGGATACTTTAAGTAAACGGCAACAGATAAAGAGAAGATGCTTGCAGTGCCTTAAACTAATGGGAGTAAATGGAATAGACAAGAAACCCCTGTAGACAAAAAAGAAAAAAAAAAAAGAGAGGGAACCCAGTAGAAAAATGGTCAAAGATTATGAGCAGGCAAGTCACAAAGGCACAAGGAAATTTTTAAAATCAACAAGTAAGCGAAGAGATGCCAACCTCACTAATAATCAAAGTAATGCAAAGTAAAATGACAAGATTGTATTTATACTTACTAAATTTGCCAAAAAATAGAATATTCAATAATAAATACTGTTGATGATGTGAGGAAATAGGAACCCACAAACACTGCAGGTGCGGCCATTCCTGAGAGCAGCCTTAATGTATTATATGCACTTAACTGACAGACCTGTGTGACCTCTGACCAGCTCTCACTGCAGGGGCGAATACCATGGAAACTTTCACAGAAGTCAGAGTTGTTTGGTTTCCGAGCACAGAGCTGATGATGACCTCAGGGACCATCTCTGGGGGAGGGGATGCATTAATCAAATGAGGTGGGTACCTACCATGGAATCGTTTGTGGTAATCAGAAACATGGAACTAGAAATGTAACACCAACATGAATAGATCTTAATAAAATGATTTTGTGTGAATGAAAAGAAACAGAATGAGATATATGCTCTCAGTCTCCCACTAGAGCGGCTAAAATGCAAAAGTCTGGCCAAACCACGTGCTGGTGAGGATGTGGAGCAATTAGAACTCCCAGATATTGCTGGTGGAAATGCAAAATGGCACAACTACTGTGGACAACAGTTTGGCAGTTTATTTTAAAAATTAAACAGCTGCCTATCATATGATCCAGTCATTCCCCTCCTACATATATGCCTGAGAAATTAAAGCATATGTCCAAAGACTTGTGTAAGTCTTTTTTTTTTTTGAGACGGAGTCTTGCTCTGTTGCCCAGGCTGGAGTGCAGTGGCACTATCTTGGCTCACTGCAAGCTCCGCCTCCCAGCTTCACACCATTCTCCTGCATCAGCCTCCCGAGTAGCTGAGACTACAGGCGCCCACCACCACACCCGGCTAATTTTTTGTGTTTTTAGTAGAGACGAAGTTTCACTGTGTTAGCTAGGATGGTCTCGATCTCCTGACCTCGTGATCCGCCCGCCTCGGCCTCCCAAAGTGCTGAGATTACAGGCGTGAGCCACCGCACTTGGCCTGTAAGTCTTTTTTTTTCTTTAAAGGTACTCAAATGTGTCAACTTTATTGTTTCTATATATACACCTTTTTTGTACTGAAAATTGTAAAAATAGCATAAAGTTTGCTCGTATTGCGATCCAAATTTTTGAAAGCCAGAAAATCTAATTAATATGCTTTAGGCAAACTACCCATTGCTTTCTTTATCTACAAATAACTTTGCTTCAGTTTCTTTTTTTTTTTTTTGAGATGAAGTCTCGCTCTGTTGCCCAGGTTGGAGTGCAGTGGCGTGATCTCCGGTCACTGCAAGCTCCTCCTCCCGGGTTCACACCATTCTCCTGCCTCAGTCTCCTGAGTAGCTGGGACTACAGGCACCCACCACCACGCCCAGCTAATTTTTTGCATTTTTAGTAGAGACGGGGTTTCGCCATGTTAGCCAGGATGGTCTCGATCTCCTGACCTCATGATCCACCCACGTGGGCTTCCCAAAGTGCTGGGATTATAGACGTGAGCCACCGCGCCCGGCCTGCTTCAATTTCTTGATGTTGGGTTTCATCTTACTGACTTTGGGCTTCTAAAACACATGGGAATACTTACATCCTCTTGGCTTCTTTGAGCCAAATCAAACAGTAGAGCTAAAGTTATTCGAATACATTCAAACTACACAGATCCCTTGTAAATTACTAGTATCATGGTGGGAAGGAAAAGATACAAGAAGAAAAATGCATCCTAGAAGTATTTCATGGAGTTCATAGAAGCTCCATTTGTAATCGCTAAAAAACTGGAAACAACCCAAACGTCCATCAACAGAGTGATTGGATAAAAACTTGTGGTATATCTATACAACAAAATACTACATACAAGTAAAAAGAAATAAACTACTGAAACACACAACACAGATGAATCTCAAAATAATTATTTGAGATTCAATTATTATTGAATCTCAAATAATTATTTGAGATTAATTGAATAATTAATCTCACAATAATTAATTGTGAAAGAAGCCAGACAGAAAGAGTACATATTATATGATCCCATTTCTATAAAATTCTAGAGCAGGCAAACTAATCTATAGTGACAGAAAGCAGATCAATGTTTGCCTAGAGACTTCAGGGTCAAGGCACAGGGGGCGTGGGCAGGGAGGAGAGGACAGCAGGGATTACCAAAGGACATGCGAAAACTTTTGGGTGTGATGGATATAGTCATAATCTTTATTGTGGTGACTGTTTCACACATGTGTACATATATCACAACTCATCAAACTGTATACTTTAATTGCGTACAGTTTATTATATGTCAGTTATACCTCAATAAGGCTGGAAACAAAAAGTGCTCTGGGCAAAGAGTCTGGTGACTTAAGTTCTGCTTTTATTCTGGGCCCAAGTTACCATGTCACCTTGGCCAAGTGACCCAACCCTAAGAGGCTCGGGTTTTTCACCTGTGCCCTGGGAGGTTTGGGTTAGATCGTTGAGTGGTAAGAGCAAATGCTCTCAGGGGCCAGGAAGGAAATACAAATGAATGACATAAGCCAGGTTCACCGCGGAGAGGGGTAGAGACAGGTAGAGACTGTGGCTACCTGGAGAGTGTTGCCTCTGCCCAGGGGGGCAGCTGCCAATCAGCTTTGGCCATTTGCTGCTTAATGGAATGTGGGCGGTGATGCTCACGCTTCAGAGTCTTTAAGAGAAACCACAGCTCCGGATTCCTCAAATGAAATCTTCCCGTTATCAAATGTAGATAATTAACTTCAAAAAGTTAAAACACTGTGCAGGCCAAGGCCACACATGTGCAGACGAGACCCAGCCTGAGCCCCACTTGTTTGTGGCCTCTGCACTCTGTGATGCGTGGGGATGCTCTTACCCGACCAAGAATCTCTTCTCTACTTTTAGCCAAAGTTGCTTCCCTAATTCTTTTTACCTATACTTCACTAAGAAAAAATGTCCATCAATGCCCATTTGCAACCTGCCTGCTTTCCATCTACCATTCGATCTATAGAGTGTCTTAACTCTTGGTAGACTTGAATTCTTATTTCTTCAGTTTGTGGAGGAGACATTCTGGGCAATCTTGCCGAGTTAAAAGAGGCTAGTACCTACCAAAAAGAGTCGAAAGCAAGGACTCCATCAGATATTTGGATACCAGTGTTCAAAGTGGCATTATTCACAACCACCAAAAGGTAGAAACAACCCCAATGACTATTGACAGATAAATGGATAAACAAATGTGGTACAGTACAATGGAATAGGATTCAGACATAAAAAGGAATTAAATTCCGCCACATGTTCTACCAGGGAGGAACCTTGACAACATTATGTTAAGTGACATAAGCGAGACACAAAAGGGAAACTATTGTGTGCTTCCACTAGGTATCCACGAGAGACCTAGAATCGTCCAAGTCACAGAGACAGAAAGTCAAATTCATGGAGACCAAAGGGAGGAGGCATGAGTTTCCTGGGCGCAGAGTTTCAGTCTGGGAAGATGAAAGAATTCTGGAGACGGATGGTGGTGATGGTTGTACAACAATGTGAATGTACTTCATGCCACTGAACTCTATACTTCAAATGGCTAAATCGGTATATATTTATATATATTTATATACATATATATAATACATATATATTATATATGTATCCCAGAACTTAAAATTATATATATATTATATATACATTATATATTATACATTATATATTATATATTATATAATATATATTATACATTATATATTATATAATATATTATACATTATATATAATATATATAATGTATAATATATTATATAATATATATAATATATTATATAATATATATTATATATTATATTATATATTATATATATTATATAATATATATAATATATTATATATTATACAATATATTATATATTATATAATATACACTATATTGTATAATATAAAATATAATATATTATATAATATGTATTATATATAATATATAATACATATTATATATAATAATATATATAATATACAATATATATTATATATTATATAATATAAAATATATATTGTATATTATATAATATAATTATATATTATATATATAATTTTAAGTTCTGGGATACATGTGCAGAACGTGCAGTTTTGTCACACAGGTATACGTGTGCCATGATGGTTTGCCACACCTATCAACCCATCATCTAGGCTTTAAGCCCTCCTGCATTACGTATTTGTTCTAATGCTCTCCCTCCCCTTGCCCCCATCCCCCGACAGGCCCCAGTGTGTATTGTTCCCCTCCCTGTGTCCATGTGTTCTCATTGTTCAACTCTAAAGTGGTACATTTTATCCATTATTTTTTTTTGTATAAAAAGGCAGGACACGTCTGGAATTTTCAGATCCGATGATGTAATATAAGAGGCTTTCTTTTCAGCACACTGTGCTAAGGAGCCACGGCTGGAGCTCCCATTGGCACGGTGTCTCTGCAACTCCCTCCTCAGGCTCCTCACACACCCGGGGACCCCCTGTGAGTCCCTAAGCTGCTCTTAGGCTTCACCCATTTTGCAAAGTGGGTCTTGGCCCCAGCTACACTTTGAGAGCTTTTGAATAGTACAGATACCTGGGCCCCACCCTTGGAGAATCTGAATCAATTGGTGTGGTGGTGGAATCCGGTCTCCACATTGACTCAGAGCCTCCCGGGTTATTCTAATGTGCAGGCAGAGTTGAGAACCACTGAATTCTGTTCTGAAAACATCAGCAAGACCTTTCATGGATATTATAGGTAAGTAAATCAAAACCGCAGCAGACGGTGCTGAACAGATCCATGGGGTGAGCTGTTCTGGGGAGGCGGGTTTATCCCGGGAAGGGTTCTGCAGGAGTGGGTGGGCCTGGAAGTGGGAATATCTGTACCCCCATTAAGAGGTAAGAAATGAGCAAGCCATAGTTAAGGAGCGTGTTTGTTGGGAGGGAGGAGAAACAGGGTTAGGATTAAGTAATAAAACGTGAGACAAGAAGGCCTGCAATTCCCAGGTGAAGCGCTTGGAGTCTTTCTATTCCTGGGAGCAAATCTAACACATGGGAAATATTTGCTTCTGCAGAGAACTTCTTAGATTTCACTTCTAAGTGAAATCAGGTAAGTCAGTGGTAAGAAAAATCATAATACAAGATTCTCTAAATAAGAATCTACTTAACCTGCTGCAATTCTCTGTCAAAATATCCTATGCCCCAGTCTCAAGGTAGGATTTCATTCAGAACCGTATCTATCCCCACAAAACCACTTGAATGAAGTTAGGTTTATTTAATTTGGTGACTTGACCGAGTCAGCTTGTTGAGGGATTGGGGATGAAAATCTAAAGGGAAAATACTGGACTCGTGTAAATTTAGACTCCTTGGCTCTGTCATTCTAAATGTTTTATGCAACAAAGTTGGAGAATCAATCCATTGCTCCAACTGGTTCCTTTTCCTAAACAGCATCTTCTCCAAATCTTGTCATAGAAGTGGTGGTAGTGAAATGACTGTCATGTGCAAGCAAATCATGAAAACCTATCAGAGCATAATTTTTAAAAATCAAGAATGAGAAAGGTGCTCTGGAGGGAACAAAAGTCTTTATTTCATGGAAACAATTATGTGATGCTCAGAAGTTGATCAAGGCTCTGAAAGTCACAGTGCATGGGATTATCCATCTTACTTACCTGTAAGTCACGTCTCTGTCAATCTTACCTGCTCACGGGAGTTGGAAACTGAAAATCATAACAATATCAATAACACTAGCCAACTTATATTGAGGGCTTGCTATGTTGCAGGCGCTCTTGTGCACTTTGCATGTATCAAGATCCTTAATCCTCACAACAACAGCATGTGACAGGTACTATTTTTGCCATCTCTAGTCTAAGGATGAGGAACCTGAGATGTAGAGAATAATTTCGATAATTTACCCAAGGTCACATGGCCAGTAAGTGGCAGACTGGATTCAAATCCAGCTGTCAAGTTATTTTAGGTCAGAGCCTGGGCTCGTCATGTACCACTATTACCTTGGAAGAAGGAAGAAAAGGTAGAAACAAACACTTAGTAAGTGTTTATTAAGTGCCAGCTATTTTATACATTATGGTGTCGTTGAACCCCTACCACATATCCTTAGCCTCATGTTACAGCCACTAGGAAATGTGGACAGAGAGTTTAATGACTAGCTAGCAAAAGGCAGCCTTTATTTGTCTGACCATACACCTGTGCATTCTTCACTAAATAATGAAATTTCAGAGTAGCATTCATGCAAGAAAGCATGCTTAGGGAAGAAAGTCTCTTGCTTAGAGTTTCATCCTTTACTTAGTGCAGTTTTAACCAGTTTGCCTATCTGCTTTCCTTTTCAAAGCCAGGAAGTGTATGTGGGGTGGGAGCAAGAGGGAAGGTGGGTGAATTGCTGGAGAAATAAGTTTAATAGAGAAAATAAATGTCCAAGAGATGAGGATTATTAAACAAGCAGTATCCTAGCTATCCATCTTTGACTTCTTTGAGTGGAAGTTTTGGTTAAAAGCTATATGCTTTCTTTAAAGGAATCAAAGAAAGAGGTTGGATGAGTTTGTTAGCAGCAATGAATCTATACAGGTCTGTAGCAACCTCAATTCTTGATTCCTCAGAAGAAAGAATTTGACCGGGGGACATAAGGCAAAGTGAGACCAAGGCAAGTTTTATAGCAGGAGTGGAAGTTTACTAAAAAGTTTTAGAGCAGGGATAGAAGGAAGTAAAGTACAGTTGGAAGAGGGCCAAGTGGGTGACTTGAGAGATTCAAATGTGCTGTTTGACTTTTGACTTAGGGTTGTATAGTTTGGCCTGCTTCCAGTGGGGTGTGTCTGTTCTCCCCTGATTTTTCTCTTGGGGCGGACTGTCTGCATGTGCAGTGGGCCTGCCAGCACTTGGGAGGGGCCGCGTGTGCGGTGTTTACTGAGGTCGAGTGCATGCTCCTTGGAGGCATTTTTCCCTTACCAGTCTAGGGTTCCTAGATGAAGGTCACATACCAGTTAAATGAAGTCCATCGTTTTACCTCTCAATGCACATGCTTGAGCCCACTCGCCCAACTCCTGAGATCTTATCGGGAAGCTGCTGCCTACCAGGTTCGGGTGTTTTCTTTTCTTTTCTTTTCTTTGTTTTTTTTTTTTGAGATGGAGTCTCACTCTATTGCCCAGGCTGGAGTGCAGTGGCGTGATCTTGGCTCACTGCAAGCTCCACCTCCCGAGTTTGCGCCATTCTCTTACCTCAGCCTCCTGAGTAGCTGGGACTACAGGTGCCCACCACCACGCCTGGCTAATTTTTTTGTATTTTTAGTAGAGACGGGGTTTCACCATGTTGGCCAGGATGGTCTTGATCTCCTGACCTCGTGATCTGCCCGCCTGGGCCTCCCAAAGTGCTGGGATTACAGGCGTGAGCCACCGTGCCCGGCCAGGTGTTTTCTATCTATTGGGAGACTGCCTTTCCCTGGTGCTGGGTGCGATCAGTTATTATTTTAGGGAGCAGTGGAACAACTTCCTGACCATCACCTGATGGTTGTCTGACGTTCCTGGGGTGGGGGTGGGGGTCTGCCCTGCTTATGTCTGCCTAACTACCTACTGTTAACAAGTTAATCAGATAAATTTAGTAAGCTTTCAAAAGTTTGTATAAAAATAATCCTTAGTTAAATTTAGAACACAAAATTAAGTTCAAGTGAGAACTTTTCTAAACACAGAAAACAGTTTTAACTCTTCAAAGAATACATTGCCACTTACTCTAAACAACATAATATCAATACAATTGTTATTCCAAGATTATTAAACATATATCAGAAGGTATGCAGAGCTCAGATGGTACTTGTGGGTATGCCTGGGCTTGCTCTTTCTTTCTTTGTCTGCCTGGTGAACTTCTCTGCAGACTCAAGGACAAGGTCTTCGGGACTCTTCTGAGAAGTCAGCCCTACTCCTTCTCCTCCACCCGTCACTGCCCTGCAGTATTCTGGAGCTGTGGTTCTCACACTTTAGAGGACATCAGAATGAGGAGGGCTTATTAAAACACAGATTGCCAGCGCCACCCCAGGAGGTTCTGCTTCAGTAGTCTGGGTGGGGCTCCAGGATCTGTATGTCCCACAAGTTCCCAGCTGACTCTGCTGCTGCTTGCTCAGTGACTACACTTGGAGAACCACTGCCCCAGAGAAAACTCCTCTCTCGTCTGTGCTGCCCTGGCCTATTCAGTCATTTTATTTTGACTTGGGCCGAGCAGAGAATTTCTGTATCTTCTCAAGGGTCTGTGATCTTCTCGAAGAGAGAGTCCTGTTTTCAGGCCTTGGAGAAGGGTAATAGCAGAGAGTTGAGGGGCTTCCTGGGAGAGGGCTGTGGCTGATCCAGGGCTGAGGAGTCTATCCAGTAACAAAGGTGTAGTCACAGGTCTCTGAAAACTGCATCCCAACCCCAGTCCCTGCTGGACTCACAGGCTCAGTGGAAAGTAGAGAGCTGTAAACACAGAGGTAGTTAAAAAAAAAAAAAAGTAATGGCAGAAGCTGCCCTCTCTGCGACCCTGTAAGAAAGCATGAAACGAGGCAGAGAAGCGTCTTTTCATACTCCCAGACAAACCTCGCTTTTGTCATCCCAAGGAATTTAGGCCATTACTCACAATGCCTGAATGAGATGATGGTGCCCGACAGAGCCGGGCATCATCAAGGGCTGTGCTGCCCAATCCAGTAGTCATTGGCTACATGTGGCTGTATGTATGTAAATATAAATTACTTAGAACTAAAGAAAACCACACTAGTTTCATTTCAGGTGCTCAGTGGTCACAGATGGCTCACGGCCACCCTGCTGGACAGTTCAACTCTAGGACATGTCTATCATTGCAGAAAGTTCAGTCGGCTAGCACTACTGGAGGGACTTGGACAATGATGCCGCAAGAGCAAGATGGTACACAGGAAACCCGATGTAACGTGTTTGTGCCCCTCTCCCTGCATGCTGTTCTGTCCAAGAATTTGCAAAGACTGGCATACCCCACAGAATGATGCCTGGGAGCATATGATGCCTCTGCTTCTCCTTTTTCCTGTTCTCATGAGCCAGAACTTTAGTGCCAAGTGTGGTTGGGGTACCCGTGAGTCAGAAGAACACTGTTGGAGCTGAGAGTAGGATTGCCCCTGGTCAGGGGTGAGTCACTCTCTGGACTCCAAAAGGTCCAAGGGTCCTTAACATGGGGCTGAATGCCTGCCCAATGCCAAGGCTGTCGAGTCATACTTTTTCTTTTGTTCTTTTTTTTCTTTTTTGGAGATGGAGTGTTGCTCTGTTGCCTGGGCTGGAGTGCAGTGGCACAATCTCAGCTCACTGAAACCTCTGCCTCCTGGTTTCAAGCAATCCTCCCCCTCAGCCTCCCGAGTAGCTGGGATTACAGGTGCCCGCCACCACGCCTAGCTAATTTTTGTATTTTTAGTAGAGATGGGGTTTTGCCATATTGGCCAGGCTGGTCTTGAACTCCTGACCTCAGGTGATCTGCCCGCCTTGGCCTCCCATGGTGCTGGGATTCCAGGTGCGAGCCACCACGCCCAGCTGAGTCATGCTCTTTCTATTTCGGTCAGTGTTACTTGTGCCTCACCTTGCTTCTTCTGCCGCAGGAACCTCCCCTCCCCTCTCATACGCAGCGTGCATGCCTTTCTCTTGTCATTGCTCTTTGAAAGACAGCCTATGCATTTGAGTTAGGATTTGGGAATTTAAAAGGATGGCAAGTGAAAAAGCAGAGTTGGGTTATCTGGATCAATGATAGAGTCTCCAAGACCTGGTCTGGGGCTCTATATTCAGTAATGAGGTTTCCTAGCCTCCCCTGGTGACACACCCAGGTCTGATAAATCTCTCACCATAGACAAGTTTCCCAGCAGTAGGGAGCTTAAATGTTCCTTTACCTAATTCTTCCATAACTCATCATAAAATGGGAAAAAAAATTCTAATTTCCTCCTGGCTGGCTAAAACCTAAGAGAGATGGAAGGAAAAGGTGTTCCAGGGTGCTTTTGAGGTTGCACGTGGACCTGAGTTTTAGCAGATGGGCCTTTGCCTGCCTCTGCCATGGGGGCTCGCAGCTCCTCAGGCCTCGGTATCACAGAGGTCTTAGTCAACGGGTGGGTAACAAAACATGGACGCTGCTTTGGCACACAGGGCACACTGAGGGGAGGGAGAACAGTGTAAGAGAAGCATGCTCAGCCAGATAGTTGAAGGACGTCCCTCGTAAGCCCAAGCTGTGCCCACAATTGGGCTTTTAAAAGGTCTAGAATGGGTGGTGGTGGGCAACCAGAAGTTTGTTTGTATGAGAGCCAGGGAGATTAATTATTTTAAGAGGACAGGAATGAGGGCACTATAAGCTTGAATTGGTCAGTGCAAGGCCTAAGCTGGGATATGGGAGGAAATCCCACATGCATGGCGCTGTCTGCCAGTCAGGTTTGTCTCCCAATCCAGATTGTGGAGGGAAGGAGGAGGGTGAGAGCAGAGCTGCTACAGGCATCCTGTAAAAGCTGTTTGACTCCAAACTCCGTGAAACATGGAGCCCAGGCAGCACACTGATTGGGGAATTCTCTGGCCAACTGTGACGAAGTAAGATGTTGAGCAGAGGCATTCTTCCAGAGTTTCCCGCAGAACCCACATGGCTTTGGCCCTTGGAGAGCTCCAGGCCATCAGAGATGGTGCAGGAATGGGGTAGGAGACAGAGGAAGCCCTGCAGGAAGCCAGCAAAAACCTCACCTACCTTGAGAACTCAGCAATGCCGGAAGAGATTGAGATTCCTAGAGAATGGAGGAGCCGGGAACAAAGGAGAAGGATGGGATCCAGGAACAGGCCAAGAGAACCAGCTCGATGCTTCTTCCTCTCCCTTCTAGAAAATTCTGTTCAGAAGCCATTAGGTAAGGTAGAGCAAGGCAGGCCTCTGTAGCTGAGTGGGGAGGAAGTAGCGTGCCCAGAGCAGGAGGGTGGAGTCCACCGGGGTGAGATAGAGGCTCACACAAGGGCGGTGGTCCAGTGTGAGGTTGCCCATGTGGAGCGAGGAGGGTGCCAACATAGGAGGGGGCAGCCCAGCATGTGTCGGAGACCAAAGCAGGGTCCGAAGGGGGTCCTGTCCAGGGAGGATGTCCTGGCACGGAGACTCAGACCCTCAGTGGGGTGAGGAGGGGTCTACACAGAAGGTGGCCCAGGGCAGGATGGCAGAACTAGAGGGGTGAGGAGAGTGTCTATTGCAAGGGCACCTTGCGCTTGGAGTCAGTGCCCTGGGGAAGTGGGAAGGGCATCCACATGGAGGGTGGCCCAGGGCAGGATGCTGCTGTCCAGGCAATGGAAGGAAGGTGTCCTCAGGAAGGGTGGTACCGCATGAGTGTCCTACCTGAGCAGAGAGAGGAAGGTGTTTCAGTGACCGGCAGGGTGGCTGAGAATCCCACTCTGCTTTGTGTCCTGAGCCTCACAGAGCACAAGGCATTTAGTAGCTGCCCAGGTAATGGTAATTGTTAAATGGATGATGAAATAAATGAGAAAAATCTGGATTCAACTCTCATCTTGACCATATATTAGCTATGGAACTTTGGATATGATCTTCATCTCCATCAGTGGGATACTGTGTATGAAACTACTCAGAAAAGCTAAAGGAGCTGATTTTACTCCACCTAACAGGAAAGAAGGCTCTGCCATTCTTTGCTGTGCAAGCGTTCCTCATATCAAAGAATGGCAGAGCCCTCTTTCCCTTTGGGTGGAGTAAAATCAGCCTAGCCTTCCCTTAGCGGGTACCATGCTGCCCAGCCTCAGGTGCGTCCTTTGTGAGGTGAGAAGTGTATGGAGCTGCTGAGTGATGTGTGGCTACAGTGGATGCGGAGAAACTCACCTGCAGGGAGAGAACAGGCTGTGGCCATTGGTGTGCAGGCCTGTGGACTTTCCGCATGCGTTGTTCAGCTTATTCAGCCTTGGTGGTCTCTGAGATCTATGGCAGTGAGCGTCTGCTCCCTCTCACAGCAAACACCACACTTTCACTGAAAAATGAGGCTATTAGTCTTGTTCACAGAGCACCAGGATCCCTCCCAGTTCTTTCATGTGTTTGTTTGTTGTTTTTTGAGACAGAGTCTTGCTCTGTTGCCCAGGCTGGAGTGCAGTGGCGCAATCTCAGCTCACTGCAACCTACGCCTCCTGGGTTCAAGCAATTCTCTTGCCTCAGCCTCCCGAGTTGCTGGGATTACAGGCGCCTGCCACCATGTCTGGCTACTTTTTTTGTATTTTTAGTAGAGACATGTTGTATTTTAGTGGAGATGTTGGCCAGGCTGGTCTTGAACTTCTGACCTCAAGTGACTATGGTTCTACAATCCGAGTTCTCCTGTTGGACCAGTCGAGTGACCTTGGGCAAATAGCCTCCTGGCCTGGGCAGCTGAGGACAGTGTGTGAGCTGTGTTCTGAGGCCTCAGGCCTCAGAATTTCCCTCCTGACACTGTGGGCCTGAGCAGACAGAAAGGACAAACTTCCTGCCCAGAGCGTGTGGTCTGAAGGTGCCTCGGAGACCCTCTGATCAATCTTTGACCCCTTCCCCCACACACACTACAGCAGTTACGTGTCTGTTAAAATACACGTTCATAAAAGACCACCTACTAAATAATTTTTAAGTTGTTATTCTAAACCAAACTATTTTGAACTTTTGTAAATGCAGTTTTTATTTTTAATTAATGACATTATCTTTGCAGCCCTGAATCAGACTTTCCTGGACACTTTTGGGTGTTCTTATCTGCATCAATGGGGCCTCAGTTAGCATTTTAAAGGTGACATTGCCCCAGATTTTATCTCCACCAGATCTTCTCTTCTGAACTGCAGATCCAGATATCAAACGGCCTCTTGCACATAATGACTTGGCTATCTCTCAGGTCCTCCCTGTCCACAGGGTGGGTTCTCAACTTATCAACTCCCTCCTCTGACACCACTCCTCCCCTGAAAGGGTCCTCCCACTCCCCTCAGAGAACAGCAGCACTCACAGCAGTCAGCCCCTAAATCCAGCTGATCTTTGTCTCCATTGCCAATATCACTGTTCCAGGCACCATCCTCTCTCGCTGGTATTACTGCAAACTGCCACCCAGCTGGTCTCTCCACCTCCAGCCTTGCCACGCTGCCCCCTTGCCCCGTCCATGTCAGACTCTACCACGCTGACCTTTGGAAAATGTAACTCTGTATGCATCACTTCCCTACTGAAAACTCTGATAGGTCACTATGCCCTTTAAGATAAAGTCTGAAATCCTCAGCAGGGTTGATAAGCAGCTCTATGTGGGACTCGCTTTTCCAGGTTAGCAAGGGACTTCCCTGATTTTAGCACTGAAGTCCTGAATTCTCCTTAGTCCTTGGCAAACTGGATGGCTCACCACTCCCCTCTTCTCCTCATTCCTCTGCCTCACCCCTACCCCACACTCACCCTCTGTCTGTCCCCTCAGCAGTCTTCCTCCTGCTACTGTGAATGGTCTCTGCCCCAGCCCCTTTGCTTTGTAACTTTGAGATCCCCCTCCTAGTCTCAGTGGGCAGATGGCTTCCTCCATGCTGTCTCCTGGACACCCCGGGTCAGGTGACTCGCCCCTGCTGGGTGGCACTCTTAGTTCCCCTTGTGGCACTTAAATGCGTTATTTCAATCACTGGGTTACCGGAGGTCTCCTTCCATGACTGTAGATGCTGCAGGCAGAAGCTGAGTCGTGTTTGCCCCCGTCATCACCTGTTGTCTGGCACAATTGCCTGCTGCGGATTTCAGTGGTGATTTTTAGGTGAATCGTGATGCACCCAGGCACAGCCTATACACAGAACGTTGTGTTTATCTGTTATCTTGGCTCTGAGACAGGCAGTCTCAGAAAGTGAAAAATAGCTGGTTTATAAATACATGATAAAATGTTGACAATCACTCATAATTAAGTAGACATACATTAAAATAATAACGTTCACTTTTTTCGTTGAGACAGAGTTTTGCTCCGTTGCCAGGCTGGGGTGCAGTGGCATGATCATGGCTCACGGCAGCCTCAAGCTTCTGGGCTCAAGGTATCCTCCTGCCTCAGCCTCCTGAGTGGCTAGGACTATAGGCACATGCCACCAAACCCGACTAATTTTTTTTTTTTTTTTGTAGAGATGGGTTTTACTGTGTTGCCCAGGCTGGTCTCAAATTCCCAGCCTCAAGCAATCCTCCCTCCTTGACCTCCCAGAGTGCTGGGATTACAGGTGTGAGTCACCATGCCCGGCCTAAGGTTCATTTTTTACCTACTAGATTCATAAAGGTCACACAATGTGAAGAAGCGGAGGACACCAGCAGGCGCTCTCCTCCCTGGGGTAGAAGCATAAATCTGCGAGAACCCTTGAAGAGTAACTTGGCAATCTTTCCTAAAAGCTTACCTGTACATAGTTTTTTTTCACAGTTTCACTCCTAGAAATGTATTCTACAAATACTCTTAGAGATTTGTACAGAAAAGAGCAAACAAGAATATTCAACACATCATTGTTAGCAATGAAAATAAAAGGGAAAAAAATACCCTACCTATCCATCAAAAGGAAACTCGTTAAATAAATTAGGCAAGTCCTTCTAACAGAGTATTATAAAGGAATTTTTTCAATGAGGTAGATTTACATAAGGTTATATGAAGCAATCCTCAAAGCAGGGGGAGGGGGCAGGAAATGAAAAAGGTCTACAATTTGTTTATTTTTGTTGTAATTTTAAAAGGAAATATGCACATGTGTTAATATGCATAAAAATATTTCTGGAAGAATACACAAGAAACTCGTAGCAGTAATTACCTCTGGGGAGAGAGACTGGGATCTGGGATAGGAGAGAAATTTATTCATTCTATATTCTGTCTTAAGTGTTTAAATAATTTATTACAGGCATAAATTCACCCTTTTTTTTTTTTTTTTTGAGACGGAGTCTCGCTCTGTCGCCCAGGCTGGAGTGCAGTGGTGCCATCTCGGCTCACTGCAAGCTCCGCCTCCTGGGTTCACGCCATTCTCCTGCCTCAGCCTTCAGAGTAGTTGGGACTACAGGCGCCTGCCACCACGCCCAGCTAATTTTTTATATTTTTAGTAGAGACAGGGTTTCACCATGTTAGCCAAGTTGGTCTTGATCTCCTGACTTTGTGATCCGCCTGCCTCGGCCTCCCAAAGTGCTGGGATTACAGGTGTGAGCCACCATTCCCGGCCATAAATTCATTTTTCAATACTACAAAAAGAAAACTCCGTGTTTTTTTTTTTTTAAAGAAGAAAAAAGCTAGCTAGAAAAAAGCATCTGCCCGAGGTTCTAGCAATTTTCCTTCCTTCCTTCCTTTTTCCATCTTTTCTTTTTTTTCTTTCTTTCTGCCCATGCTCTCCTCCTTTCTAAGAAAACTGTCTTTCCAGAATCTTCTAACAATATTAAGTAATAAGATTAGACTAGCTCTTCGTCTCTGAGCTGGGAGTCCAGGCTGGACTGGGTGAGTTTACCCTTGCGTGAGGCTGAGTGCTAATGTCTCTCACTTACTAATGGGGTACCTTGCAGCCTGCCTTTCATCCTCCTGCCCACCTTCTCCCCAGCCATGTCCTGGCATCAGCTGCAACAGATCCCAGCTTCTCACTCCTCCCACTTTCTGCTCAGGGGCTCCTCTGCCACCATGATGTGAGATGCTGAGGACACTCATTTTGTCATTGTGATATGTTTGGAAACCTGGCTGTGGGAGAGGGTTAACAACCCCCGGGATGACCTGTGATCCATGGGGTCATCCCTCACAGCTTGCTAGGGGTCCCCAGCGGTATCGAGCTCCAGTTTCTCACTGGCCTGACCAGCTCAATAATTTACCTTGGTTGGCTTGTCCTCTTTCCGTTTGACTCTTCCGAGCCTCTCACTCCTGTTTCTTGGGATCACTTTTCAAAGTAAACCACCATGTTGTGCTAGGCTCTGCTTGTTGCAGAAACCCAGGCTAAGACACCATCTTTCATCACTCCTGGAGAGTTCTGGAGTCCTTGTAGACCTGTGGATTAAGACCACACTTCATTCAAAGAGATCCAACAATTTTCCCTGGGAGTTCCTCTCTCTCGCTTTCTCTTCCTGAGATGTAACCTTTCCCCTCTAGGTCCTTAGGCCTGCCTTTCTTCCTCTCTATTAATGTGAGGATGGCATTTTGCTTTGTGCCCCCCCACCTCAAATTCTGTATTGAAATTCAATCAGCAATATGATATTAGGAGGTGGGGCCCTTGGGAGGTGATTAGATCACCACCTTTGGGATAGGATCAATGCCCTTATTAAGGAGACACCAGAGAGCTGCCTGGTCTCTTCCACCATGTGAAGACACAGCTAGAAGGTACCACCTCTGTACCAGAGAGTGGGTCCTCACCAGACACCAAGTTTGCTGGCTCCTTGATCTTGAACTTCCCAGCCTCCAGCACTGTGAGAAATAAATTCCTGTTGTTCATAAGCCACCTCGCTTGTAGTATTTTGTTAAAGCAGCCTGAATGGACTAAGGCACCTTTATAAACCTAGGCATTCTATTCTAAAATTGCCTTCCAGTCCAACAGAAGCATGTTATAGATTCTCCAGGTAGAAGCATTTGTTGTAAAAATTAACTGTACCCTTGACATTGAGATCATCTTGTATCAATTTTAGATCCCTGAACTCTGATTTGATGATTTAAAAAGCAGGAGAACCTCTGAATCTAACTCATTCCAGTCCCTGCGGTGGAAGGCAAACATAGTTCACTCATTTGGAAACCAAGGTTCCCTGCACAGAAAGTGCCAGGCCAACCCAGCGAGCCCTGATGCAAGGTCACTATTTATTTTGTCATCCTGAGGCGAGAGTTCCTTCAAGGGGCTGCTGTTGGCTTTCAAACAAGCCTGGAAAATTGTCTGGTGGCCTCTTTGATCCTGCCCCTTTTTCTGGGTGGTGCTCTCTCTTTTCTCTGTGTTCCACTTTCAAAATAAACCATCTCAGTTGGCTGTGATAAATTCAGTGAAGGAAATTTCAAGTTGAGAATGGTGAGAAGACCTGCAGAAGGGAAGCTATAAATAGCCCACTTTTAATGGCTATAGTAACATAATTCCCTTTACATTACTGTCTGCCATTAAGCAATAAGTAACATTGTAACTTGAAAATCGGACCAAAATAGATTGCACCATCTACCCAGACCCAATATGGTATGTGTAAATATGCAACACTGCCCTATTATTTATAGATCTATGATTTTCCTTATGAAACGGATTCATTTGGGTGCTCTGTAGACCTGAGTTAACTTGATCCAACAAAATCCAACTTTGTCATAGAAACCTACAAGTTTAGAGCAAGGGGGACTTTTAGGAATCACGGAGTTGAAAGCCTGTCCTTTGCCTAAGCTCATGCAGGGACACAGGGATGGGTACATGTGAGAAGGAAGTAGAGACTGATTCCAACTGAACACCTGGAGAAAGGCCTCGGATTCTCAGATTCAATGAAAGGGGCCTTCACATGCCTTTGTTATCTATCACAACATGAGATCTGGAGGCTGCAATCACCATTGTTCAGTGGAGGAAATAGGTTCACAGAGTGAAGTGACTTGATCCAAGTTACATAGTAAATCAATGGCAAGGAATTGGACTGGAACCCAATTCCAACTTAAGGCTAGTATTTTTCCTTTCATAGTGGTAGCTCCATTGTTTCTGGCTTCTAGAGTCTTGGGCTGGTCAGCTTTGATTGACACGTCCACAGTAAGAGTCCCAGCCCTGCCCCGCCTCCCACCTATACCTCAGCACCTCAGTAGGTTTCTGTGACCCCTCCCTTTCTTAGCCTCAGGTTTGTTCACACTACAGATGGGGTGAGCCACCCCAAGCCCCTATCACCACATCGTCTCCCACTCCTGGCCCCAAATGCTTTCCCCTGGCCATGCTCCTTTCTTATTATTCTGAACCCCTTGTCAGTTGTTTTCTGTACTTTATCCCTGAATAGTCCTTTCAAAACAGAACATTTACAATTTCCTTCTTTAAGAAAAGAGTACTTAAAAAAACAAAAACGAAAGCCACGTTTGTGATTCTCGCTTCTTCCATTACTTACCTTCTAATTTTCCAAGTCTTGGCTTGGCATTCAGGGCCCCCTGTAATTAGGCCCCTGCAATGTGGATCACCTTCTCCCTATCCCTGTGTTGCTTGTACCTCTATTACAACATTGCACACGCTCAGCCCTGCTACCTCTATTACAACATTGCACACGCTCAGGCCTGCTACCTCTATTACAACATTGCACCTGCTCAACCCTGCAATATTCCAACTAAAGAGCATGGGACACTGAATTCGTTTTTATGTCCAGTAGAACATCTGCCACACAGTCACGCACATAGTAGGTGTCCAGTGACAGTGTATTGAATGGAATGGGCTCATTCCTGCTTCCTGCAGCATGGTCCCTATGGCCTGTCTAGAGCACATCTTTCTATCTGGGGGCAAGTTTGGGCCTGTCACCCCCTGCAGTAGACACTAACACACAAAGGGGTGAGATTAGCCCCTGTGCATAGTTCCAAAGAACGAGCTGGCCTAAATAATACTTCTGAGTGTGCTACCAGTGCAACTGAGTTATTTCTTAAACCATCACATCCAGGTGCCTAGTATGTTTCTAGGAACTTTATCTGAAAGCATCAATTTCTGTCACTGATCCCCCAAATTGTAATTGCTCAAGACCAAGTGAGGACTAAAACTCCGCAGGCATGACAGCCCTGTGTTTTGGTGCTACATGCGGGGGGACTGAATGTCTTACAGAGGAGCTTACAGTCTAATGGGGTGGGGTGGGCAGGGAAACAAACCTGCAGAGAGCGACAATAGGCAAGACAAGAGCATGAAGAGAGACACTGTGTATGGGTAGGGGTGGCTGGGAGAATGAGGATT
The DNA here is from genome assembly GCF_000001405.40 of Homo sapiens. NCBI lineage: Eukaryota > Metazoa > Chordata > Mammalia > Primates > Hominidae > Homo > Homo sapiens. The sequence goes on along the minus strand of NC_000003.12, from coordinate 193,874,049 downwards.
ACATGACAGAGTTTATAGAAAGTGCCTGGCACATAGTAGGTGTTCAGTAAATGGTAACGAGTCATATTCTCACTACCACACAAGCAGCTGGGTTCACAGAGGATCAAGGCCTGTGCCTCCCTCTGACTGCCATGCCTCTTCCTCCCCTATCCTGCCCACTCCCTCTGCTCCGGCCTGGTCTTCTGATCATGAGGAACATGCCAAGTTCTTTCTTTCCCCAGCAGGGAAAAGCTATTCCTTATTCCAGAAATCTGTGTTCCCAGCTTAGGGCAAGACTGGCTGCTGCTTGCTCTTTAGGTCTCAGAATAAATGCCACCTCCCCTTGCCTGACCACTGCACTGCCCTGCCCCAGAGTTATTCTCTATCACATCACACTGGCTAGTTCCTTCTTTGCAATTACCAGAAGCTCTAAAAATTTTGTTTCTTTCTTTGCTTGTTCCTTGTCCCACTAGGCTTCAGGCTCGAGACAGAGAGGAACCGCCTCTGTGTTTTTCACTGTCGTGTCTCAGTGCTGGGAGTGTACTCCATGTGGTCAGTGTGTGATCAATTTAACTGTGCCTGAGGGTTCTGAGAAGACCTCACAAATGAAGGTACCTTTGACCAGAGCCACGGAGAGGGGACAAGAGTTTACCCACCAGGCGCTGCAAAGCTGAGGTGGCAGGTCAGGACTTCCAGTGAGAAGGAGGTACTGGTAAAGGAGACTGTTATTATGAGCAGCTCCGTCCAGGAGAAGCCAGGGTTCCTGGTCCAAAACAGCACCCTAGGTTCAAATAGGAATACCCTGGGGTTGGAGGTGAGGGAAGGGTGGTGGACAGCTCACTCAGCTATCAGAAGCTGAGGGATAAGTCCCCTTCCTCCAATCTGGGCTTTCTTAGCAGCCTTTTGAGCTGGAATTTGTTTTGTTTTGTTTTGTTTATGGTGGGACCTACCCACTGTGCAGGGAGGATCTTATCAGGTGGCCAAGCTTGTTTTTTGTTTGTTTGTTTTGAGATGGAGTCTTGCTCTGTTGCCCAAGCTAGAGTACAGTGGTGTGATCTCGGCTCACTGTAACCTCTGCCTCCTGGGTTCAAGCAATTCTCCTGCCTTAGCCTCCCACGTAGCTGGGACTACAGGCGTACACCACCATGCCCAGCTAATTTTTGTATTTTTAGTAGAGACGGGGTTTCACCATGTTGGCCAGGATGGTCTCGATCTCCTGACCTCATGATCTGCCCATGTAGGCCTCCCAATAAGCCTGGTTTTTGGAACAATACAAATAATGAAAATTTTAAGTACTGACATTTATTGAGCTCCTATTGTACTATTTTACACACATCTGGTTTAAGCCACAGCCACTGCACAAGATTGGCATTTTTCCCCATTTCCAGAGGCTGAAACTGAGATTGAGTTTCATGTCCAAAGAGTGAGTAACATGTGTAAAGTCATGGGGCTAGGAAGTGGTGGATGGAGTTTCAAACCCAGCTGTGTTTGACCCTGAAGCCAGGGCGCTAAACCACAATCTTTTTTCTGGCCAGTGTATCTCACAGGTGAATCAATTCACTGGGTTTGGCGCATTCCCTTGTGGGCTGAGTCACCATAAGTCAGACTGCCTGAACCTGTTCCTCTCTGGGAGGCTGATAGAAACCTAATCTCTAAACTGACAATGCCAGGGGCAGGACTCTGGACTTTGGTAACCCCATGATGGGGTGGCTCCCTACTCTCCCACTCAGAGCTGCAGATAGCTTTTCTCCAGGACAGCAGGACTCAAGGGTGCTATGGGGGTTAGTTATTGCAGACATCTTGCTTTGCTTTGCTGTAGAGTGGGGTGGCTAAGAGCTTGGGTAGAGGCAGACAGACTGGTTTGAAATCCAGCCTTTGCACTTCGTAGCTGTGTGACCTTAGCTTGGGCAAGTTTCTTTACCGCTCTGTGCTTCAACTCTCATCTTTAAAATGAGGCTGAGAACAGTCTCATGGTGCTACTGTGAGGATTACGTGAAAAAACGCGCTTGCACATAGCAAACCCTCAGCAATCATTAGCCTTTATCATTGCTGTTGTTGTGACTGGTATATATATATATACTTTTTTTTTTTTTTTGAGTGGAGTTTCACTCTTGTCGCCCAGGCTGGAGTGCAATGTCGCAATCTCGGCTCACTGCAACCTCCGCCTCCTGGGTTCAAGTGATTCTCCTGCCTCAGCCTCCCGAGTAGCTAGGATTACAGGCATGCACACCACGCCCGGCTAATTTTGTATTTTTAGTAGAGATGGGGTTTCACCATGTTGGCCAGGCTGGTCTCAAACTCCTGACCTCAGGTGATCCACCCGCCTCGGCCTCCCAAAGTGCTGGGATTACAGGAGTGAGCCACTGCACCCCGCCTGTTGTGAATAGTCTTAAGGGGAGGCGTAGTGGGATGTAATGGGCTGGAGTCCTAGGCCACCACTTTTTAGCCATGTGACCTTTGAGATGAACTATTAAACTTCATCCCAGAATCTTTCTAAATTCTCCAAAGTTAAAGATGAGATTTAATAGCTCATCTATTAAAGATTTCTGGGATGGCATTCTTAAAATTAAGATTAGCTTCTGTTAAGGAATTAGAAAACACCAGAGGTAGGGAATGGTCCCTGTCACATATAGACAGCATTTGCCCTAAACCATGCTCTGGTCAAGAGGAGGCTGAGGACTTCTGAGCCATTTGCCTCTCATCAGAACGTCCTGGGTGTAGTGTCAGAGAGTGGCTGTATTGGCTTGTCTGAACAGCTAGTGTGTTGCTTTGGTTTGAGCTGAAAGATTGTTCTAACAAAGGTGCATGGTGACTATGGTCAGCATAGGCGTTAGGAGAGGAGGGGCCGTCTGTGCACACTGTCCTGGGTGTGCCCATCCTCAGGAGCTCAGCTGTGTAGTGTGTGGCAGCCTGTCCCCCTGACTCCCGCCGGTGAGGTTCACAGATGGTCAGAGCTCCCAGGTGCGGCTCTAAAGCTCTGGCTCTGCTGCCGTGGCCCCAGGCAACCTGGCTGGCTCATGGGCTTCAGCTTCTCACATGTGGAAGAGCACAGATCATCCTTCACCCCAGTATCCCGGTAGCTGACCTCAGACTTTCTGAGTGTGAGTTGACTTGAGTAGCCCTGAGATGCTGACGTCCTCTGAGTACATCAACAACAGGGAGTTTCTGGGCTGCAGGCTGAGAACCCGTGTTTGTCACAAGGCGGCCCCACAGAGTTACCACCACTCTAAGGCCCTGCCAGAGCCAGCAACAGATTATTCCAGAAGGCACCTGTCTCCCAATCACCTTCTCTATCTGGAACAACACCTCCCTCAGGGTTGGGTAAAGTATTAAATATCTGTGCCTTGCATACACTCACTCAGTGCTCAACAAATGCTGGTTCTTTCCCAGTTTCTGTAATCTGTATGACCTATCTTGACCAAGAGATTGTCATCATCCTGAGGCCCGGGGCCCAGGCTGCTGTTGCGCTGGCCTCTCTCCCTCACTCTCCAGTAAGCCCTGTCCCAGGCTGGCCTCTCCCTCCGGGGCTGTCTTATCCACGCTTGGGCTCCAACCACCTTGACCCTTCTCCACCTGTCAGTCACGCCCCAGGTGTTCCCTGAGTCACGCAACAGCTATATAGTAGCTCCGCAGACCAACAGCAGGCCGACAGCGTAGCACCTGAGTTCTAGATCTACCACTGTTCATGCGGGACCTGGCATAAAGCATTCCCACGTCTCGGCCTCCATTTCCCCATCTGTGAAACGAGAGCACTGGTCAGCTCTTCACATGCAGCGTTTGTGGGATGAATCCTTCCATCTGTCCATCCATCCCGCCAACATCCATGCACAAACATTTAGCACCTGCTGCATGCTGTCAGGGACTATGGCAGGAAAAGAGTTGAAACAGACACGTCCCAGGCCTCCAGCCCCTCACACCACGGAGAGGAAACAGATGCCCGCAAAGGAGGAGGCACCCCTCAGGGGGCCAGCGCTGCGACACGGTGGAGGCAGGGAGGCCGTCTCTAAGCAGCCTGCGAGTCCCCGCGCTGCACCGTGGCTTTGAGGAGTGGCGGGGGCCGAGGGGCCGGTCTCTCTTCCGGGGGAGATTCCTCCCCTCACCCCGGCATTACTCAGCGCCCTGAACTGTCTGCCTCCCTCCAGCCGGCCCTCCTCGTCTTCCTGGAGCGCAGCACAAAGGTCCTGTTGTGGCCGCGGCCCGGGCCGCGGGCGAGCCTCTCTGGATGGTGGTGACTCAGTCTCTTGCCATTTCCTTTGTGCGGCTCCGGGGCTCCTCGCTGGGAGCGGAGTGTGTCTGCAGGGCTGGGGGCGGGAGCCGGGACCCACAGCCCGACAGCGAGCCTTTCATGTGGGCAGGGGGCTTCCCGCACGCAATGCGAACCTACGCCTGGAGCTTCCCAAAGACAGCGTCCGGCGCAGGAACGCGAGATGCTGGCCGCCTCGCCTCTGGCCCCCGCGAGCATCAAAGCGCGTGCCGTCGAGGGGGCACGTGTCCCCCATCGGGCGCGCCTCTGCTCCTAGTCCCCTGAATGAACACATCCTTATGAAAAGTGGAAATTAGCCGCCGAAGGGAAGGGCCCGGAGAGCTTGGGAAGCGACCTAGGCTGCCAGCCTCCCGGCGGGTCTTTGGTCCCAGCTCTGATGACCTGTCAGCAGCCGCAGGACCTGCGCTTAAAGGCGCCTCTCCAGGCCTGGCTCAGGGTGGGGCTCCTCGTGCTCAGCACCCTGGTCAAGGTTAGGGCTGGGTGTGCGCTGGAGGCTTGGAGTGCCAGGGCACCCAGTGAAGAGCGAATGAATGAACGAGTGAACACCGGACTGGGGGCCTGCAGACGGTTCTTCGCAGGTTAATTAGAAGGCCTCTAGCAAGCTGCAGCGGAGGCATTTCAGGCATCCTTCAGAGAGGACCCTCGGCCTGGCTCCTAAGGGCCCCTGGTCTGGCTCTCACCCCCTGCTCTGGTGGCATTTCTGCTCACTCAGCCTTTACCCTTTACACGCCAGCCGCTCTGAACAGTTTATTCTTCTGGGAGCACATCATGTTCTTGCTCACATCCAGGTTTTGCGTAAGCTGTTCCTGCTGCAAGGAAAACCCTTCCTGTGTCCTCCTCAGGTGAGAGCTCCCGCAGGCAGCTTCTCCCCGGAGTCTGGCGTAAGTGTTCCTCCTCTGCACGCCTCTGAGGACATTTGCAAAGGTCTGTCATAGGGCTTACCACCCCGTTACCTGTTTGTTTCCACCAGGGAGTGCGCTGAAGCTGAGAGGGAATGAGTGAGTGAATGAAGGGCTTGAGAAAGGAAATTTCTTCACCCTCCAGTGCCCTCTGGGTGGGTATTGAGACAAGCTCTACAGGAAGCCTAAGAAAACTAACTGCTCTAATTCTGTCCTTCCTTTTGCAATGTTTAGGCAACTCCTGTGCATCTGTAGGTACCATTGTGAGGTTACTGCCCTGGACTGGGGAGAGATCCACACACGCAAGAGTGCATCTGGCATCAGTATGTAAGAGTCAAAACTGACACACAGTTCTTCATCTCATGGAAATGAAAACATGCATGGCCGGAATGATCTTATACCTGCTTCTCTTGGGCCAGGTCACCAGGCTGGCCCTGAGAAGTATGTGATGGCATGGAGAAGAATCCTCACACATCCTTGCAGTTCTCTAGGATTTGCAAGGCATTCCCCCCATTGCTGGACTCACTGGATTTGAGTAGGCCTGTCTGCCCCTATTTTAGAGATGAGCATATACACCTTACAAAAACTGAGTCTTGCTCAATGTCTGGCAAAGAAGTCTTCCTTTATCCAACAATCCTGAGAGTCTAGCGGGTGTTGGGCACCATAAAGATGAATGAGGTGCGGTTCTTGCCACCAGGCAGTGCCCGGGCTTGTCAGGGAGACCCATGTGGAGCATGACAATTGCTACCTTCTTGATACGGGCAAAAGGATGTTGAGTCCAGTGGAAGGAGAGGCTTGTCTGGCTGTGAGATCAGCAAAGTCTTCACAGAAAAGGAGAATTTTAAATGGGGCCTTGAAGGGGAAGTGTCTCCTGGAGATGGAGAGAACATAGCGAGGAGAGTGCGGTGAGGTGGGGGGTGGCAGGGGAAGCACATCACTACGCGGTGCTTAGGGCCGAGTCTGAGCCAACCTGGGAGTGGCACTCAGCTCCCCCAGGCCCCCGAGATGCATGTTCAGCAGCATCCAGCGGCCTCCTGTGAAGCGACTGGGAGTCCACAGAGACAACAAAAGCAGATGTAGTGATGTGTAAACTTGAAGTTTCTAGAAGTTCCTTTGGGCCCCACCAAATCTCTGTGGCAATGAACCAATCCCACATGTTCCTGTGGGTAATGCTCCCAGAGGGCATGTGACTTTGGGCATCATTATTGGCTGAAAAAGGAAACTGGGGTAGTAGTTAGAGAGTGCTATGAACTGAATGTTGTGTGCCTCCCAAATCTGTACACTGAACTCCAAATCCCACTGTGGTGGTATTAGGTGAGGGGGCCTTGGGAGGTCATTAGGTCCTGAGGGTAAATCCCTCATGAATGGGATGAGTGCCCTCACACATGAGACCCCAGAGAGCTCTCTGGCGGTCTTTCTACCATGTATGGCTGCAATGAGAGGTCTGCAGCCTGCACCTGGAAGGAGGCCCTCAATGAACCTGACCAGACTAGCATCCTGTTCTCAGACTTCTGGCCTCCCAAACTGTGAGAAACAAGTTTCTGTTGTGTATAAACCATCCAATCTATGATAGTTTGTTATAGTAGCCAAACCGACTAGGACAGAGAGGATGTAAGGAGCCAGTGGAGGACTCTTTTAATGGAGAGACTACAGCATGTCTCAGGCTGAATGGTCCAGTAGGGAGAGCAAAAACAGTGCCCATGCATCACCCTGAGGTCTCACCCAACCCTGCTGGAACTGACTTTAGTGCCCTCTTCCAGTGTTCCCCGCATGACCTGGTGGGTGCACACCTGGCTGCTTGCATTCACACCGTCCCTCTCCACTTCTTCCTTCTCCCCAGCTCTCTTCCTGTCAACCCTGGCATTGCCTTTGTTGGCTACTGAGAGAAGACCAGAAATATCCATCTAGTCAGACTTGCCTGCTCCTGGGAAGAAAACAAAAATGCAAAGAAAAGGTTCTCAGGGAGATTGAGCCAACCTGGGAGTGGCCCTCAGCTCCTCCAGTCCCCAGAGACCCATGCTCTGCAGCATCCAAGGGGCTCCTGTGAAACTGTTGGGAGGCCAATGACACTCTGTCCCACGTTGTGGATCTATTTTGTGGTCTCTGTATCCTTCACTGCTTTTTGTGGACATTATTGTATTAGATTCCTTTGGAAATGATGATCCAGCTAATGGCCAGTTAGTAGGAAACATCACGACCCTCCCCCCAAATTCCAGCCTCTTGCTGAAAGGGTGGGGCCTGGGAAATCATATGGTATTGCTCCTGGTCACCACAGACCAGTGGTGGCTTTGGGCCAAATTCTGGCCCAGCCAATCCCCCCCACCTTTTTTTTTTTTTGAGAGAGAGAATTTGAGGTAAGAGACACAGAGACTCAGGTTAGGAGGATGCTTGAACTGAAAGGTCCTGAGACAGCAGGACAGGAGCTAGTACCATGCAGAACACAGCAGGAGCCACAGGCAAGCCTGAACTGTGGGAGAGAGAAAACGAAGGGCCTTCCAGAGAGGTCCAGTCTGCCAAGAGGAGAAGAGAGTTGACACGCAGAAAGAGTTAGGGGTGACAAGAACCCCCGTAGCCCCTTGAAGGACACAGAGAGGAGATCTTTTTTGTTCTTTTGTGATTCATCCTTTCTCACTTCCTGTCCTTGGAGGTCAACAACAGACCCCTGTATCCTTTTAATAATCCCTCTTTTCATTTGAAATTGTTCCAGAGGGTACCTGATCCTTGTTGCCAGCATGCCCTGAATAAGAAAAATGCTCAAACCAAACACTGAGTCTACTGAGTCTATGTGAATTAATTCTTGGAATTCCTTGGCTCAATTCAATAAACATTTCATGCACAATTTTTGTGTGCCAGGTGCTAGAGGCATTCTGAGAAAAACTGAGACCCAGGAGCTGTCCTCAGAGAGTCCAGTAAGATGTGGTCTGATAAGACATGTTTCCATATACCCAGAATACAAGGTAGTTTGCTAGGAGCACTGCAAGAGAAACGCAGATGGAAGGCTGGAGTGTGTACTGCCACTGTGGAAGCAGGAGGGGCTTGAGGGAAGAGGGCCTTCAAGAATGGGTGGAATCTAATATTGGAAAGGGGAGGAAGAGTGGAAAGTATAAGAATCAGAAGTCTGGTTGCAGGATGGGGCATGATATGGGTGGGACACTGTAAACTGCACAGCGTGGAAGGAATATGGAGTTTAGAGGAATAATGTTAGATGAGTCTGTAAGACGGGCTTGACTGGGATTATGAAGGGCCTTAAAGGTCAAGCCAAATTTGTTATCATAGAATCATAAGAAGGAGAAGAGCCTTAGCTGTTGTCTAGTCTAACTTAGGTAATTTGGTTCCAGTTCCTCTTAAGGTGGCCACCATGACAGACTGAATCTCAAGTACTCATCTGAGATACAGTCATTTCAATGGTAGTGACTCAGAATTTACTTTTCTTTTTTTTTACCCCAGCAAAATATTTATTTTAGAAAATAGGATTATATTATTTGTTGCTCTCCAACTTGCTTTTTTTGGACATCTTGGACATCTTTCTCTACCAGTACATATAGTTCCATTTCCTTCTTTTTATTTTATTTACTTTATTATTTTTGTAGAGATGAGGTCTTGCCATGTTGCCTAGGCTGGTCTGGAACTCCTGGGCTCAAGAGATCCACTCACCTTGGCCTCCCAAAGTGCTAGGATTACAGGCGTGAGCCACTGCAGATATTTTTATTTTTTATTTTCATTTATTTCAATAGTTTTTGGGGAGCACGTGGTTATTTGATTACATGGATAAGTTCTTTAGTGGTGATTACCGAGATTTTGGTGCACCCATCACCCAAGCAGTGTACACTGTACCCAATGAGTAGTCTTTTATCCCTCGTCCTCCTTCCCCGCTCCCCTCACGTCCCCAAAGTACATTGTATCTTATGCCTTTGCATCCTCATGAGATTACTTTTCTATCTTTAACAACTTAAGAGTTCTTTCCAGAAGAGTCCTCTTACTACGAGGAAGAGTGTTAGAGCACAGGGAACTGGGCCTAGAGAGTCTGCAGCAAATTGTCTCAAATAGCAGCTTAAAAAGGTAAGGAACAGAAAAGAAACACTCTCTATCTATGTGCTGGCCTCAGGCACAGTGCTTCTAGATGGTAGAACATCTGTGAAGTAGAAATTACAATCACTTTTCAGGTGAGAAAACAGGAGCTGTAGGGAGGAGTCGGACAGGTCCCCAGGCCCAGCAACTATACCAGGTGAGGCAGGAATGTGGCCTCGTGTTGACCAGATTCCACAGCCACGGGCTTCCATCCCTCTTCTCTGCTTGCTTTAAGACTAACCACCCTGGCTTCAAGTAAGTATCACTCACAAAGGAATTTCAAAAAGACATGCACATAAATTAATGGCTGATGGCTGTAGGTGGTCGTATGGGAGGAACCGATTATAACATTGTATGAACTTAGCAAAGCTCTAAACCATAGCACAGACATTTGGCAAAATGGTTACTCTTTTTCAATCATCCAAGGACTCAGTTTATAATAAGCCTTGAGCGAGTCCCTAAATTCCAAAGCCCTTAGCATCTTCCAGGACCCTCTTGAGACCACACAGTGCTTCCAGCTTCCGGAAACAGCAGATGCTATTGCTTCCATGAGCAATGTCAGCATTTAATACACAAGGGGGAACAGAGAAAGAAACCTATATGGATGGGGAGCAGGGAGGAGGGGCAGCACTGGATCCTCTCCTGGGCCCTGTCCAGCTCGACATTCCTGAACAGAGCGTGCTGTTCCCTCTCCTGATGTTGGCAGCTTAGAATGCAGGAGCCTTAGATGGGTGGCCTGGAAGGGAGGCCAGCAGGGAGAGGTGACCTGGAAGTGAGGAAGCTCAGGAGGGACTGATGGTAATTGGAGGGGCAGGCAGAGAGAGGCAGATGAAGAAACAGCCGAGGCCTGTGTGAAGGCTGGACCCAACCTGCGTCCAAGCAGAAAGTCCAGAGAACTTAGCACAGCTTCCAAAGCTTCAGAGTACATCAGAACTACTTGGGAAGTGCGTCAAACTCTGGTTCCTAGGGAAATCCTCAGAGATCCTGCATCTGCGATGAGGCCCAGAAGTGGTTTTTGTGACCAGTTCCAAGGCGACTTCATACAGGCAGTCCTTGGGGACACTGGTGACAGGATTTCCCTCTCTGGACCTTGGTGTCCTGCTCTGTAAATAAAGGGGTTTGTCAAAGACGGTTTCTGCTTTCTCTGTCAGCTCCAACATACAGCTTCTCAAAAGCTTCCAAAAATCCCCTTACCCAAGCTTGCAGCCCTCATCACCTGTCTCAAGATAATGGTTTCCTATTCTTTTTAATGTATAAGGCAGACAGGTGGTCATGTACCTGCTCAGCTCTTGAAAAGGACCTACATGATAGACTCTAGCAACTCCACCTCGTCTGCCCATTTTGGGGGAGAGTAAAGCCACGTCGTGTGCGTTCACATAGGCATCCAAATGGGACAGACTTCCTCTCTCTGGAGGCCGTGGCTCCAGGTCAAAACAAAACCACTTCCAGGTCTCAGGTCACAGGATCCTGCAGAATGATTTATTTAAGGAAGAAAGCTTCAAGGGCTCCAGAGAAATTAAATGTGTATATTTCCCCAGCAATTATGCACGTCCTTTCCCTTGAAAAATAGTTCCCATGCCCTGCCTGGAAGAAAAGCCAGATTCTCCATGATGCTGTGTTCCACAGGCTTCTAGAGGTGGGGGGGCTGTGATTTTCTAACAGGAGAAGCCACATGAAAGTCTTCAGCAGCTTTGCGCTGTTTCTGCTGCAGCACCTCTCAGGGCAGACTGGAGAATCAGGGAGTCTTGTCTGGAAAAACGAGACAGGCTGGGCCTGACACATTGATTTCTGGTTCAAGTTTCCCAGTGAAATGTGAAGGAGGAATTTTCCACTTCTTGTCCTGATTCACCTTGGCGAACCAGTCTTTGGAGTCCCAGACTGAGGCAGGGAAAATCTGTTTCAGGTGGATTTTCCAGCCAGACTTATACCCAAAGTGAGTGGTCCTCTATGCTGTTCCCAGTATCAGCTGTCTCCCGTTGGCCAGGAAACAACTCTGTCCCCCTGACTTCTGCTTTAGCCATCTTTCTCCAGGAGGAACCAGGCCAGAATGTTAGGACAAAAGAATATCATAGTGACATGTAAATCCTCACCCTTGGACAGAAACTTAACTGGGTGATACAGATTCATTTAATATGAACTGAATAGCTCATGCTGTTTTATGACAGACTTTGGGATCAAAATGTAGCTAAGACACAGCCCTTACCCTCAAGAGTTTAGACTAGTGGGAGGGCAGTTGGGCAAATATCAGCCTGAGCAGACTCGTATAAAAGCGACAAGAGATACAGCAAGATTGAGGAGAGAGGTTTAGGCTGGATGGCTTCAGAGAATGCTCCCCAGAAAAGGTGGTATTTGCACTGGTCTTGAAGGATAAATAGAATTAGAGAGAGGAAGGAGAGGACAGGAGGAACGGCCAGCAGAGGAACTTCTAACTGTAGTTAGAACGTCCTTGGTACATGAGGGTATGGTACATAGTCTGGGATTGTTAGCAGGTAGATATGCAAAGAGGTGAGTAGGAGATGAAACTTGAAGAAAAGGCAAAGGCCAGGCCATGAAGCGCTTTGGTCGTGGTGAGGGTCAGGACTAGACCAGGCAGACAGTAGGGAACCATCAAAGGATTTATGGCTGGGGAGAGAGGAGTTGGATATAGAGAGAACGTGCAATAAACCAGGTGAGGGATGGAGTTGGCCAATGTTAAGCCGGGGAAATGAAAATAAAGGACAGAATCGAGAGACATCTTGGAAGAGAAAAAAATGATATTTTTGACCATGGGGAGAAGGAGAATTTAAACATTTTCCCCAACATGTGCTGATATCTAATTTAGACAATAGTGGGGGAGGTAGGATGGTTGGGTGGTTACTCATGCAGGCTCCAGAGCCAGAGGGCCTCTGTTTGTTTCCTAGATGGTGACAGTAGTTCCTTAACTACCCTGTGCCTCCATTTTCTCCTCCATAAAGGGGAATGAACAAATTGCAGGGTGAAACTGTTAGCTATCACTGTATTCAGAGGACTAGCATTTTTTGGTATCAGTTATTCCAGAGGTTCTCAAGGGTCTGGGACTTGGAATTGAAACAGGGTACACTGTGAAGAGGGGGCCCCTGGTGCATCACTTTACTCGGGAGAACAGGGTTCATGCTGCCCATTTAGACTCTCTATCAGGCAACATATTCTGATAAGTGATAAAATCTTCTTTGAAAAAAAAATGCCTCTTTTGAAAGTGAAGATGTCTAAAAAGATGTTTCTTGGACAGCATATAGAAATTTCACGGGGGAAATCACTGCCCGCGTGGCACTTGAGAATTTAAGATTTCTTGAAAGAACTTTGCAAAGTATCCTTTGCACTCTCACTGTGAACTTATAAGTGCTGTGATCTGTGGTGGTTTCAAAAATTATTATTATTTTCAAATACAGAATACATACAGAAATGTTTATAAAACATAAATTACAGCAAAACAAACTGTTATAAAACAAACACCTGCACAGCCACCACCCAGGACAAGTAACAAGGCATTGGCAGCATTTCACTCCCCTTCCTGTCATAGCCCTTCCCACCAAAAATAACTTTTATCTTGACTTTTATGGCAACCACCTCTCTACTGTTCTCTCCTCCCACCAGCTAAGTATGCACTGCTGGTCTCTAAACAACACAGTGTGATTCTGATTGTCTTTGATCTCCATATGATGTTTTACCATGCAAAACATCATCATAAATTCCTGAATGGTGTTACAGAAGCAGACGCATACTGGTTGGGCTGCTGGTGCCAAGAGGTGGAAGTGGAAGGAGATAAAATGGCATTTCAGAAAAGTCCTTAAGATGGAAAGGGAGGCGGAGATGGAGATGGAATCGTATGCATGTACTCTTTTGGGTCTGGCTTCCCTCTCTCAAAATTAGGGGCCACACCATCCCTGCTTGTGTGAGACTGCCGTTGGCATATTTTCACCACCACAACGTAAGAACACACCACCATTTACTTATCCATTTGACTTTCAAAGGGCATCTGTGTTGTTCCTAGTTTGGGACTATTTTGAATGGTGCTGCTGGGAACATTCCTATCCATGCTGCACACATTTCTGTTAGGATTTTCCCGGAAGTGGAATAACTAGGTTATAAGAGGTTGGCATATCTCCATCCTTAGCAGAAACCATTAAGCAGTCTTCCACGATGGTTATGCCAGTCCCTACTCCCACCAGTAGGGCCCTAAAATTCCTACCTTTCTCTATACTCACCAAAACCTGGTATCACTGAACTTTTTGTTATGGTTTATCACTAAAGGAGGCTTGAGGGGCATCCTAGACATATAATCAGATGTTGGTGTGCTATTGGATCCATTTCAGATCTGAAGTGCTATAATATTTGTAAATAAGTACAATGAATTGCTTTTTCAGAGGAAGGCCCATAATGAAGCTTTACCATGCAAAACATCATCATAAATTCCTGAATGGTGTTACAGAAGCAGACGCATACTGGTTGGGCTGCTGGTGCCAAGAGGTGGAAGTGGAAGGAGATAAAATGGCATTTCAGGAAAGTCCTTAAGATGGAAAGGGAGGCAGAGATGGAGAGAATGAAGGATGCTTTGAATGAGGGTAGAAACCCTAAGGGAACAGCTCTGAAAAAGAGTTTAAGATTTTGCAGCCATGTACTAGTATGGGTCTGTTGGTTTTTTAAATGTACATGAATACTATGATTTCTATTGTTCTTATTCACTTGCAATTTGCCCTTTCCTCTCAAAATATGGATCTACTTTATTAATTATTATATGGTATTTATTTGCATTTGAACATCACATTTATTTATTCATTTATATTGGTGGCTATTGGCAAACAATGCTCAAACAAACGTATCTTTGTTTTCATATTTTTTTCTTTTTCGAAAACAAAATTAAGTGGAAGCAAATATAGGAATTTTGAATGTTGACTATAAGAATGTCTGCTATAGGCCAGGCGAGGTGGCTAACGCCTGTAATCCCAGCACTTTGGGAGGCTGAGGCGGGTGGATCACGAGCTCAGGAGATCGAGATCAAGGCGAAACCCTGTCTCTAATAAAAATACAAAAAATTAGCTGGGCGCAGTGGTGGGTGCCTGTAGTCCCAGCTACTCAGGAGGCTGAGGCAGGAGAATGGCGCGAACCCGGGAGGCAGAGCTTGCAGTGAGCCGAGATCGCGCCACTGCCCTCCAGCCTGGGCGACAGAGTGAGACTCCATCTCAAAAAAAAAAAAAAAAAAAGAAAAAGAAAAGAATGTCTGCTATATTACTTTCTGGACTTTTCTGTATATTTGAAATATTTCATAACTTAAATGTGTTTTAAAATTTAATAAACCAAATAGGACACAAAGAAAGGAGAGCACTTGAGTGGGCAGGTCCCAGTGTCTCACTGGCTGGGTTGACCAAGAAGTGCATGGAAACAACCTATGCACTGATGACTCAGCCTAGGGGTGGGGCCGGATGCAGGTTGGCGAGCACCTTATGCTCCCCACAAACAATGCGGGGCTGTTCTGCAGTCAGATGGACATGGGTGGGATCTGATTCCTGTTCCCACAGATTAAATACAAGACCCTGGGCAAACTGCCTCAGTTCTCAGCTTCTGTATCTATAAAACTAGGGGATTAAATCTACCAGGCAGAGTTGTTATAAAAATTTAATGTAATCATGTACATAATATGCAGTTGTACCAATTTGGGTTTGATGAGGAAAGCAGAACCACTATGAGTGATGTAGAATAAAGGATTCGTGATAGGCACGTGGCCATCACAGTTGTGATGGAAGCCGGGGGAGTGAAGACCTGGATGGGAACAGTTGAAGACTCAGAGAAAAGTCACCCACCAGGCCCCACAAAGGGAGGCAGGTAAAGAAGTCTGCGTAAGGCTTTGCATTTGATAGTGGCCTGAAGTTCCTGTAGGTCTGCAGGAAAGGCAGCAGAAAGAAAAGTGGAAACAAAAGAGCACTGGACAGGCCGGAACTCACAGGGACAAGACTCAATTCATGATGATCAGCTCAGGTCACATGGTAACTTGGTGGCATGGTGAAGCATTCAATCTTTTTATTTTTTTTTTATTATTTAAAGACAGAGTTTCACTCTTGTTGCCCAGGCTGGAGTGCAATGGCATGACTTTGGCTCACTGCAACCTCTGCCTCCCGGGTTCAAGTGATTCTCCTGCCTCAGCCTCCTGAGTAGCTGGGATTACAGGCGCCTGTCATCACGTCTGGCTAATTTTTTTTGTATTTTTAGTAGAGATGGGTTTTCACCATGTTGGCCAGGCTGGTCTTGAACTCCTGATCTCAGGCGATCCATCTGCCTCAGCCTCCCAAAGTGCTGGGATTACAGGTGTGAGCCACCGTGCCTGACCAAGGCATTCAATCTCTTATCAGACCCAGTAGCAAGTCAGGAGCTTTTCTTAAAGGGATAATAATTATCTGCAAAGCATGGCATAGTTTTGTCCAAACCCTAAAGGTCTGTGTTGAGACTTACCCCTCGAGGGACCTGTGCACAGTTCTATACAGCTTCCTTATCTGCCACAGATCCTTTTAGCAAAATTAGATGTGCTGAATCATTTAGGTGGCAGTGGAGCTTGCCTAGTAGGCTGAATCTGTTGCAAAGTCTTCTCATTTTCTGGACTGCACTCAAAACTGGCAGCCTTTCAGGTTACTCAATAAATGAGTTGAAGTAGCATGAGCAAATGAAGTTGCTTCCAGAGGTTCACTAGGCATTCTGCCATTTACTTAGTGGTAAGAAAGGCCAGATGCTGCAACTTCTCCTTCATGTTGGACAGAATATATCAACATCCTCTGACCACTGGACTCATAGACATTTCACCAAAATGGCCGGCCCTCGAATTTTTGTGGGATTCATTTTCCCCTGTCTGCTTGCATTATTCTTACCAAAGTATCCAGATTATTTGCTATTTCCTGCCCACCAGGACCAATTATCATACTATCATCAGTGGCATAGGCCTATGTGATACTCTGTGGGATGGAGAGGCTATCAGGATCCCTGGGATTAGATTTTGACAGTAGACTGGGAGTTAATACAGACCTGACGTAGAACAGTGAAGGTGTAATGCTGTCCCTGAAAGCAAACTATTTCTGGTGGGTCTTTATCAAGGTATAGGGGGTGGCAACAAAGCACTGGTCAGATTAAGAGCTATTAGAGGTTGTACTAGTTTCTTCAGAAAAAAAATAATAACACCTGGGAAAGCAGCTGCAATTACAGTCACCATTCAATCAAGTTTATGATAAGCCACTGTTATTCTCCAAGATCTACGTGTCTTGGCATGGGCCAAATAAGCAATTTGAATGGGATTCACCATCCTTATCTTTCAAGCCTTGATATACCATCCTTATATCTTTCAAGCCTTGATGGTGGCACCAATTTCTGCAATACCCCCAGGAAGATGATATTTCTTTAGTTTATGCTTTTGTAGGTAGAGGAGATTCTACTGGCTTTCACTTGGTTTTTCTCACCATACCCCATGGAGAAGGAAACCTGTATGGCACTTCTGCTAGTCGTTTGGTATATCTGTTCCTAAGATGACCAATTCTGGAACTTGGAAAATAACTACAAGACACTCAGGGACACACCAAGTCCGCTGTGAGATGGACCCAAGTCAAAACCTACACTGATCACCTGATCTCCATAAACCCCTATTCTAACTGTGGGCCATTCTGGCATTTTCAGTCTCTTGAAATTAGTGTCAGCTTAGAGCCAACACCTAGTAATTGCTAAAAGGCATAGTAATTTTCTCTTTCCAAATACATATCCATACTGATAGATGTCCTCAACTTCCTTTGGGAAATGCTGGAAAAAAGATTTACTGTATAAGTTTTGGGCCAAGTAGTAGATTCCTTCCTGAAGGGATCCACTCCCCTTTCATTTGAATAAGAACTGGCTGAAGTCTCAGAATTAATTAGGGATGTCATGATTCTCTATTGTGATCATCACCTCTTTCACCAGACCCAGACCTTTTCAACTTACGTAAATCAAGTAAGACTTGAGTAGGCCACACATCTATTTCAGTTTCAGGGACACCATGATCAACCTTCTGCAGATCAAACCATTCCAGTTAATGTTTTGGCTCTGCTGTTCATTACAGTAACTACCTCATGTCTGGTGATTGAGTGTCTTCCAGTTGGCTTCTGATACCTGGGCATCCCATCATCCCCGTGAATTTGTGGAGTGCACTTAAGTGGCAGCAGTTTCCGTGTCATTCCTGGTTATAGTTACTACGTACCATAGGCTCTTTACAGATACTGGGGCTTCTCTTTTGGTCTGTGTA